>NC_000006.12:13544848-13696363 GCF_000001405.40 Homo sapiens | reverse complement strand
ATGCTCTCAACTAGAGGAGATTTTCAAGGTTTAGGATGTGGTTTAGAAATTTCCAAATGAGAATTCCATGGTAGGGCCTGGAACCAAATTTTATATCATTGCTTTTCAGCTTGGGATTGGTGTGTGGTTTGTATGGGTATCAGAATTCACTTATGAGACTATTAAAAATATAGTAATTTTTGGGCCTTACCCCAAAAGTTCCTAAATTAGGATTTTCAGAAGTAGAGCTTTGGGCAAGATAGGCATTTTGAGAAAGCTCCACACTGAATTTTGGTGCCTATCCCTGGTTAAGCACTAATTACCTAGAATCATTGGATCTATCCTATAGTATTTCCTGATAACTTTATTGCATATCAGAGGTCTCTTAAAGCAGTCATAGGGTCTTTAGTTGAGTTACCAAGACAAAGCTTATTGAGCTGTGTGGATAAGTTGCCCTGTGAGGTCAGTCAGATGGACCTCAAATCAAACCCCTCTTAGTGGTCCTCCTGTGTTTAATTAACCAAATAAGTGTATTCAGTAGATTACTCCTTTATCGGCTGAATATTCTCGATGTCAACAGTATGAGCAACAGAAAATAAAAACTTGGAATTCAGTGACAGCTTTTTATGTAACTGCCTCAGTTTTCTTAGGGTAATCAAGCCAAAGAGAAAATCAGAGATGCCAAGGATAGAGTGGTTGAGAGAGGCCCATATTGAAATAGGCACACGATTGTCACCATTTCTCACTTTACAAGCTGTATAATCAGTAAGCTGATTCTTTTTATACTTCAAATTATATGAACTTGACCTCATATTTGGCTGCAAATACCCTGATGATTCTCAAATCTAATGCTACATCTTAGCTTATTCCCTCGAGCTCCAGACAATGTGTCTAACCAAATGTTTGCATTTGAATGTCCCACAGGCATTTAAATTTAGCTTGTTTAAAATCTTTTTCTGAAAAAAAAAAAAAAAAAAAAAAAACATTTGGTTGGTGGTTTCACTATTGCTAGAAACTTGAGAATTTCCTGCTTTTAACTTTTCTGTTCATCTCTACTGCCTCTCCCTTTGTCAGATCTCAATTATTTATCTGCTGAATTACTCTCAGATAGTTGGTTGATGGGTCTCCAGTTGCTGCCTGTTTTGCTCTTATTCTAGTCTATAACTGTTGTCAGGGTTCTTAGTAATAAAAAACTGAGTTGCCTCTACCCGTTTTTTGAGATATCTGTTGCTTCAAGGATAAAATGTAGAGCTTCTTAACAGGACCCCTCAGATCTGACTAGCTCTTGGGTCATTTTTCAGTCTCTTTGTAGCCAGGATACCTTACCCTTTTTCTTTTGTTTTTAAAATTAGGTATATTTTACACATAGTAAACTTTATTCTTTTTAGTGTACTGTTCTGTGAGTTTTGACAAACATGTATAGTCATATAACCAGCATCGCAGTTGATATGGGAGACTCCCCTTATCTGTGGGGGATACATTGCAAGACCCTTTGTGGATGCTTGAAACTGCAGATAGTACTGAACTCTATATATACTATGTTTTTTTTCAGTCTGATAATTGAGAGGGCTACTCAGTGACTAAAGGGCATGTGGTAAATACAGCGTTGATATGCTAGACAAAGGAATGATTCCCAGGTGGGGACAGGGCGGGACTGAATCCAATGGCATGAGATTTTATCATGTTATTCAGAATGGCATGCAGTTTAAAACTTACAAATTGCTTATTTCTGGAATTTTCCAATTAATATTTTTGGACCTCAGTTGACTGTGGGTAACTGAAACACTGAGGAAAGCAAAACCACAGATAAATGCGGACTGCTTTATATAGAACAGCTCTATCATCCCCCAAAATTCTGCCATACTCTTTTGTAGACAACCCTTCCCCATATCTAGCTCCTGGTAACTGTTGACTGGTTTTCTGTCTCTATAGTTTGTCCATTTCAAGAATGGCATATAAATGGAATCATATAGTTTGTAGCCTTTTAAGTCTGGTATCTTTCACTTAGCATAACACATTCGAGATTCCTCCCTGTTGTATATATTCATAGAACAGTCCTTTTAAATCTAATTTTGTAGATAAGTGAACCAAAGTTTGCTTACCCACTCCCCAGTTGAAGAACTTCTCAGTTTCCAGTTTTTTGGCTGGAACTGTAAACATGTATATACAGGTTTTTGTGTAAACATAAGTTTTCTTTTCACGAGTAAGTATCTAGGAGTGGGATTGCTGGATTGTAGTTAAGTGTATTTTTAACTTTGTAAGAAACTGCCAAATTGTTTCACAAAGTGGCTATACTAGTTTGCATTTTGTTCTTTTTGTTTGTTTGTTTTTGTTTTTTTCCTGAGCCAGAGTCTCGCTCTGTCACCCAGGCTGGAGTACAGTGGTGCAGTCTTGGCTCACTGCAACCTCTGCCTCCCGGGTTCAAGCAATTCTCCTGCCTCAGCCTCCCAAGTAGCTGGGATTACAGGCGCCCACCACCACACCTGGCTAATTTTTGTATTTTTAGTAGAGACAGGGTTTCACAATGTTGGCCAGGCTGGTCTCGAGCGCCTGACCTCAAATGATCCGCCTGCCTCAGCCTCCCAAAGTGCTGGGATTGCAGGCATGTGCCACAACACCCGGCCTCTAGCTTTTACATATATACGTTTTTCATATATACATTTTTTTCTCCTGAGCCAGACAGTAAGTTCCTTACAGACATAGTTCTTGTGTTTCATGTGCTTGTTGAGTGACAGAAACCAGCCATGCTGTGGAGGGATATGATATCTGCTGCCACCCCCGGCTAATCTTTTGTATTTTTAGTAGAGTCGGGGTTTCACCATGTTGCCCAGGCTGGTGTTGAACTCCTGAGCTCAGGTGATCTGTCCGCCTCGGCCTCCAAAAGTTCTGGGATTGCAGGTGTGAGCCACTGTGCCTGGCCCACTGGTTTGCATTTCTACCAGCAGTGTATGAGAGTTCCTGTTGATCTTAGCACTAGGTATTGTCATTTTTTTTTAAATTTTTAGCCATTATAATAGGTTTCTAGTGATTTCTTGCTGTGGTTTTAATTTATATTTCCCTAATGACTAATTATGTTGAAGAATCCCTAATTCTCACCTGCTCTTCACCTATAAGGTACCATTTGGAGTTCTCTGACTACGCATGCTGGCTTATATTTCTAGTTCCTTATGCATGCCCTTCCTTCACCTTCTCTTATCCCTTTCTCTATTTGCCTAGCTAATTAATTGGTCTTCAAGTCCTAGTTTAGGAGTACCTTTCTTATGGCATTTTCTCCTTAAAGTAGGAATATGCCTTTTCTATGCCTCCTTTACATTTTGGCCAGACTGTAATTATGATATTTGTATTGTTTCAATTGTCTGCTTACTGCCAACATGACCCTACAGATTTAAGAGTAAGGGACTATTTTAATTTCTATAACTCCAGTACTTAACTTATAGCTGGCTTTTAAAGGTATGAATAAATGAATGGATTAGAAGAAGTACTATTTCTTGTATGTTCTTGGAGAAAACTATTTTTTTGTTTGTTTTGTTTTGAGACAGAGTCTTGCTCTGTTGCCCAGGCTGGAGTGCAGTGGCACGATCTTGGCTCACTGTAACTTCCACCTCCTGGGTTCAAGCAATTCTGCCTGTCTCAGCCTTCCAAGTAGCTGGGATTACAGACATGTACCACCACACCTGGCTAATTTTTGTATTTTTGGTAGAGATGGGGTTTCACCCTGTTGCCCAGGCTGGTGTCAAACTCCTGACCTCAGGTGATCCGCCTGCCTCTGCCACCCAAAGTGCTGGGATTACAGGTGTGAGCCACTGTGCCCTGCCTTTTTGTTTTTTGTGTTTTTTTTTTTTTTTTTTTTTTTTTTTGAGACGGAGTTTCGCTCTTGTTGCCCAGGCTGGAGTGCGATGGTGTGATTTCAGCTCACTGTAACCTCTGCCTCCCAGGTTCAAGTGATTCTCCTGCCTCAGCCTTCCGAGTAGCTGGATTACAGGCATGCGCCACCACGGCCAGCTTATTTTGTGCTTTTAGTGTGTTTTGCCATGTTGGCCAAGCTGGTTTCGAACCCCTGACCTCAGGTGATCCACCCGCCTCGGCCTCCCAAAGTGCTGGGATTATAGGTGTGAGCCACCGCGCCTGGCCAAACTATTGTACTTCTTTGGTCACATTCATTTATCTCTCTGGTAAACGTGTCGAACAAAGTTCTAGGCCCAGCCCATTGTTTTTGGAAGCAAAGAACAATTCATTTATGAAAAAAAAGCAACTCATATTGCTAATTTTGGCCAACTAATGTTTTTCTGGAGAAAAGATTATTTCCTAAAAATCTCAACATCTTTGTAAAGTATGGACCAGAAAGAGTAGCTGTTAGGAACCTTTTGTTTGCAGTGATGTGTGCCCATCTGAGAGTTTATTCTGCTTAATTTAAAACTGAATTTTCGCTGGGCACAGTGGCTCTAGCCTTTAGCACTTTGAGAGGCTGATGCCGGTGGATCATGAGGTCAGGAGTTCAAGACCAGCCTTGGCCAACATAGTGAAACCCCGTCTCTACTAAAAATACAAAAAATTAGCCAGGCGTGGTGGCAGGCACCTGTAATCCCAGCTACTTGGGGGGCTGGGGCAGGAGAATCGCTTGAACACAGGAGGCAGAGGTTGCAGTGAGCCGACATCACGCCACTGCACTCCGTCCCAGGTGACTGTGCGAGACTCAGTCTCAAAAACAAACAAACATACAAACAAACAAAAAAAAAACACTGAGTTTTCTTTTAAACAGTGTTTATCCCAGATCTCAGTTTTTAAAATAAATTGTCCTTGGCAACAAATTTTCTCATGAAATGGCAAGAGTTGGATGTGAATTGCCTCTTTCAATAGGGTAGAAAGAACTGGTGTTAATGTATTATGTGCTTGTAAAGACTTTTAATTCCTATGGTGTACGTTATTTCTAGGTTTACCCTGGAAAATTAGGAATATGACTGTCATGATTGTTACTTGTATTTCTTTATTGCCTAGAAAATGAGACCTGAAGAAAGTTCCTTTTATTGAGTGAAAGAATATATTTCATTTTCTGCCATGAGTTTTCATTTAAACTGAACCTAAGTTTTGTATATGTGCAGCTAAATAAATTTATTAGGACTAAATAGTCTTTAAATATTATTAATTTAAAAATAAAATCTAATGCATTTCACAAGAAAAATTAAATCACTTTATCTACATGACTTTTTTTTTTTTTTTTTTTGAGACGGAGTCTCTGTCACCCAGGTTGGAGTTCAGTGGCACAATCTTGGCTCACTGCAACCTCTGTCTCCTGGGTTCAAGGAATTCTCTTGTCTTAGTCTGTCCTAGTAGCTGGGATTACAGGTATGCCCCACCGCACCCAGCTAATTTTTGTATTTTCAGGAGAGATGGGGTTTCACCATGTTGGCCAGGCCGGTCTTGAACTCCTGACCTCAAAATGATCCACCCACCTCGGCCTCCCAAAGTGTTGGGATTACAGACGTGAGCCACCATGCCTGGCCCTGCATAACTTCTTTAGGGCATATATTTAACGGGTGTGTGTTTACTTTCCCTTCTTTTTAGTGATCATTGACCGTTGAGATGAATTTCTTTAAGGAGTCTGTATCTTAGGTACTTTCAGTTCAGGGATTTCATTCAAATTTTAAATTATGCATATTAATAGAGGCAGTGGACATACTGTTAATTCTAAATGTGAGAGAGAACAAAATTTTTATTTGAAAGTTTTTAGAATTATAATTTATTATGAATGGTATTTTTAGCTCTTCAAACAAAATATTGATGCCACTCTTTGACAGTGTTTCAGTAAGAACTGGCAAGTAATTCAGTCTCTCTGTTCTGTTCCTAAATTCTTCTGCTGATAATAAAGTGCACTCTTTCAGAATGTTCCTTTTATGCTTGCTGACTTTCTAGTTTATTTCTTGGCGGGGGAGGAGAACAAAGGTCTTTCTTCCTGTCTAGCTTTGAAAACTAGAAGGATCTTTCCTTCTAGGTTTGATTCGTTGTAAGCAGCAAATGGAAGCACAGGGTAAATGTGAACAAAGAGTAAACAATACATTTATTATAAGTAAGCAATATATTTATTTAACAAATATATGTTGAACACCTATGATATAGCACATCGTCAGCAGCTGAGTGGGGATAAGAAATTATTTTATTGATTTGTCTTATTCATAGTTCTTACTAGAGGACCTGACATTTAGTAGAAACTCAATTAATACAGTGAGTGAACTGAATGTGGTCCCTGCCCTTGAGGAAGATCAAATTTAGTGTAGTCATATGTCACTTAACTACGGAACATGTTCTAAGACATGAGTCATTGGGCGATGTTTTTTTATGAACATCGTAAAGGGTACTTATGTAAACCTAGATGGTATAGCCTACTACATACCTGGGCTGTACCTACTACATACCTGGTCTGTCCAACAGAGGACTACATACATAGTCCTTTGTTGACCAAACTGTTGGTATATGGTGTTTGGAAGATATGGTGGGACAAGGCAGGAAGCAGAAATATGCAACTCTTAAGACATAATATACTAAGTACTTAGAAATGAGACCATGTATGGGAAAACTGAGGAGAGAGTAATTAATTTTGGCTCAAGGAAATATTTATACAGGAAGTAGTAGTTGGTAGACCTTACAAAATGAGTAAGAATTTGAGAGGCCTTTTTGGGGAAGAACATTCCAGACTATGGTAAATGGCCAGAATAGTCTCACAGGAAGAGTGCAACTTTGTGGTCTTTGGCAGAGATACATGGTTCAGTATTGTTGGGGACTTGGATTATAAGGAAGAGTTATAAAAGTAAGAACAGGCTGAGTGTGGTGGCTCATGCCTGTAATCCCAACACTTAGAGAGCCCGAAGCGGGTGGATCACCTGAGATAAAGAGTTCGAGACTAGCCTGACCAACATATAGTGAAACCCCATCTCTACTAAAAAGTACAAAAATTAGCTGGGTGTGGTGGCACATGCCTGTAGTCACATCTACTTGGGGAGCCAAGGCAGAAGAATCGCTTGAACCCAGGATACAAAGGTTGCAGTGAGCCGAGATCACACCACTGCACTCCAGCCTAGCGACAGAGTGAGACTTCATCTCTCAAAAAAAAAAAAAAGGAAAAAAAGTGAGAATGGAATCAGATGTTATAGAGCCTTGATGATAGTTCTAGGGTGAAATATACTCTATAGGTAGAAGGGAGCTTTCAGTTTTTTGTTTTGTTTTGTTTTTGTTTGCAGCAGAGTCTTGCTCTGTCACCCAGGCTGTAGTACAGTGGCACAATCAAGGCTCTCTGTAGCCTTGACCTCCCTTACTTAAGTGATCCTCCTGCTTCAGCTTAGCCTCCCAGGTAGCTGGGACTATGGGTGTGCGTCACCATGCCCAGCATTTTTTTTTTTTTTTTTTTTTTGTGGAGATGGGTCTCGGTATGTTGCACAGGCTGGTCTTGAACTCCTGGCCTCAAGCTATCCTCCTGCCTCCCTAAGTGTTGGGATTACAGGCATGAGTCACTGCACCCAGACTGCCTTCAATCTTTTTGAGTAGGGAAGATATATGATACCTGCTTTAGAAAGATAATACAAAGTGGGGAGAGGATGAAGTGTGTGATGGCGGTCTGCAAGACTGCTACAGAGTTTACGGGCTAGGGCTAGGAGTTAGGTTGTGAGGCGGTTGCCTGAGGATAGAGTGTGATAGAGATTTAAAAAAAAAAATAACAGGAGGAAAATAACAGACGAGGAGATTTAGTTTGTCGAGTACCTGTTATGTGCCAGATACTGTGCTAAGAACCTAGGATTGACAGAGATGGAGACAGGGCTGTAAACATGGCTGAGAAAGGGTACCTACTTTCCAGAAGTTTGCAGGTAAGAAGGGAAATGAACATGTAAGTAACTAATAAAATCCAGTATGAGATACACAGTAGTAGACATATAAACAAATTAGAGAAGTATGTTGGAGGAGGTAACCAACACTGTTGGAAGACAGGGTGGTGATCAGGGAAGTCTATCTAGGAAGCTTACATAAAATTACAGAAGAGGAATACAGTTAAACATAAGCTTCTCTGTCCTTCAGTTGCTCAGGTATCCTTCACAAGATAGGATATGAACAGAGATGTTAAAGATTAGTAGCTGTTTTAGAAGCTGACTAGTTACTTTTGTTGAGAAATATAGTGGAGATGTAAATCTTGGCTCTGCTACTTAACTGGTTCTGTGGTTTTGTATTTTTTGACAGACTCTCTCAGTCTGTGAAAAGGAAATAATAGTGCCAACCTCATAAGACTAAATTACATAACTCACTTAAAGCACTTATTAGAGTACCTGGTGTGAAGCAAACTCAAGGTAGCTTGATGCTGCTCTGAAAAAAGATGCCTGGTGCACAGCAAACTCGTGTCTTCTTGCTGCTGCTGTTGCTGCTGGCTGCTGCCACTGCTGCTGCTGGAGGAAGCTCAGCATAAAGTTTTGTGGGAGGAATGTGTCTGGAGATGATCATGAAGGGACTTCTAATGCTAATGGGTGTTACCTTTTATCTTTCAGGTGCTAGTTTTAAGCAAGGGAATTATATGGTTGGATTTGCTTTTTAGGTGGGTTATCTGAGGGTAATATGGAAAATAGATCTGAGACTGACTTCTAGAGATCAGTTGGGTTATTGTAATAATAAATTGAGGGTTTAATCTGTGTGGTGGGGTTGTAGAGGAAAGTAGACAGATTTGTTAACTAATTAGGACTTAATTTTTTACATGAAATCTGTCTTTATTTCCTTGATTAGGAAGTAGGAGTAGTAAGCACGTAAAGGTAGTTGTTGAGAGAATGTTAAGAATGACTCCCTAGCTTTTGTCTTAGAAGATTAAATGGATAGTGATGTGACTAAATACATCAGAAAATACCAGAAGAGGATTTTTTTTTTTTTAAGAGATAGGGCCTCACTTTGTTGCCCAGGCTGGAGTGCAGTTGTGTGATCATAGCTCACTGCAGCCTCAAATTCCTGGGCTCAAGGGATCCTCCTGCCTCAGCCTCCCAAAGTACTGGGATTACAGTTGTGAGCCATCACACCTGGCCAGGAAGTGGATCTTTAAAGAAGATGATGATGAGAACAGTGTTTGAGCTGCTAGGGGAATCCCAGAAAATTAATAGCAAAGGCTTTGACTAAAAATAAATGGGATTTAGGAGAGTAGGGCTGAAGGTAGATTTTGGAGTGGTCAGAAGGTTAAGTTGTTAAAGCCATGGGAATTGATAGGATCACCCAAGTATGTAATGTAACAAAAACAAAGAGGGCCTAGGGTGGACACCTGAAACACCATATTTAAAGGACATATAGAAGGAGGGAATTCGTCTGAGATTCTTTTCATGTACTTATGAATTTTTTAAAACAATTTCTTCTTGTTACATAATCATCTAAGATTCTATAAAAGAATGGTCAGAGAATTAGAAGGCAGATCCTAGGTGTTTTCAGAAGCCAAGGAAGTCAGTTCAAAGGAGGACTGCTAAGTCTCCACTGGTTTGTCATTTGGGGGGTTAATTAGTCCTTGTGATAGCAGTTTCCTTAAAATTGGGGTGATAGCAGGTGCAGTGTGTCAAAGAGAGGTAAGGAATGGAGATAATGTGCCAGTGGACTTAGTAGCTGTGTTGCTGTTGTGAGAAACAATAATTCACAACCCATTTAGAAAAGTAATACACTGCCAATTTGATAATTCAAGGCCAGGCGTGGTGGCTCATGCCTGTAATCCCAGCACTTTTGGCAGCTGAGGTGGGAGGATTGCCTGAGCCCAGTAGTTCGAGACCAGCTTGGGCAACAAAGCGAGACCCTGTTTATTAGGCTGGGCATGGTGGCTCATGCCTGTAATCCCGGCACTTTGGGAGGCTGAGGTGGGTGGATCACCTGAGGTCAGGAGTTCGAGACCAGCCTGGCCAACATGGTAAAACCCTGTCTCTACCCAAAATACAAAAAAATAGCTGGGCGTGGTGGCGCATTCCTGTACCCAGTTACTTGGGAGGCTGAGGCAGGAGAATCCCTTGAACCTGGGAGGCAGAGGCTGTAGTGAGCCAAGATCGCGCCGCTGCACTCCAGCTTGGGCAACAGAGCCAGACTCCATCTCAAAAAATAAATAAATAAATAAAAATAATAAAATTAGCCGGGTGTAGTGGCATGCACCTGTGGTCCCAGCTATATGAGAGGCTGAGCCAGGAAGATCGCTTGAGCCCAGGAGGTCAAGGCTGCAGTGAACTGTGTTTCTGTCACTACACTCCAGCCTAGGCTACAGAGTGAGACTCTATTTCGGGGGGCGGGGGGGGGGGGGGGAAGAAATTTTGGAAATTCAGGAAAGAAAAAAAAGTACAGAAAAAATGTAAGGGAGAAAACTAAACCATGATTTTTGTATAATTAATTGCTATCAATACTTCTGCTCGTTTCTTTCGGATTTTATATATACACTTATATTTTAAGCTTAGTTATACTCTTTTTTTTTTTTTTGAGACAGAGTCTCGCTCTGTTGCCAGGCTGGAGTGCAGTGGTGCAATTTCGGCTTACTGCAATCTCTGCTTCCCAGGTTCAAGCAATTCTCCCACCTCAGCCTCCCTCCCATTAGCTGGGACTACAGGCGCACACCACCACGCCCAGCTACTTTTTGTATTTTCAGTAGAGACAGGGTTTCACCATGTTGGCCAGGATGGTCTCGATCTCTTGACCTCGTGATCCTCCCACCTAGGCCTCCCAAAGTGTTGGGATTACAGGTGTGAGCCACCGCGCCCGGCCTGGTATCCTCTTTATACAGGTTTTTACATCCTGTGTTTATCATTGATTTATTTAGTATTTTTGGGGAGACAGGGTATTTCTCTGTTGCCCAGGCTGTAGTGCAGTGGCGCATTCATAGCTCACTGTAACCATAGCTCACTGTAAACTGTTGGGTTCAAGTGATCCTCCTGCCTCAGCCACTCGAGTAGCTAGGACTACAGAGATGTATCCTATGCCTGGCTTATTTTTGAATTTTTTTGTAGAGGATTATTATTGATTTATTTCTATGTAGCAGTTATAGTATGTTTCTTACATAATTATAAGCATTCTTCTATGAGATTAAAAGCTCTGAATATCTTTTTATTTTTGGCTGTGGCATAGTCTAAGTTTATTAAGGCACATCCATA
Organism: Homo sapiens; assembly: GCF_000001405.40. NCBI lineage: Eukaryota > Metazoa > Chordata > Mammalia > Primates > Hominidae > Homo > Homo sapiens. Next base: position 13,685,261 of record NC_000006.12, on the reverse strand, counting down.
GCTGTTCTCCTGTTGCCAGTTATTTAGATTGTTTTAATTCTTTCACTATTCTAAATACTCTTTTTTGCATGAAATTTGTCTTTATTTCCGTAGGAAAGATTTCTTGAAGTGGAATTATGGATCACAAGAAGGGGTATGCACATTTTTAAGGCTTATGATGCACATGGCCAAATTACTCTCCGGAAAAATTATTGCAATTTATGTTTGGGTGGGAGAGACCTTGTTGTATGTATATGCTGAGGAGAAGGAATCACTAGTGAGTCCAGGAGAAGGCTGAGGAGGCGAATGAGGCAAGTTTCTTTGCCCAGTAGGTGGGATATGGGGTTTTAAGTATAAATTAGGAAGGTGGGATGCTGTGCGGAATTTATTTATTGGCACTTATCACTACTTCTGGAAGCCTGTCTTGACAGCCTTTTCACCTCCAAACAAGATGAGGCTCCTCTGTTAACACCCTTTCACAGCATCTTGTACTTCCCCTTCATAGCATTTAATCACCTTCATAATTATTTATTTAAGATCTGTCCTACCCGTTAGAGTATCCCTTTAGGGAGGGCACAGACTTTTGTCTTTGCCACAGCTTTATCTGTGTCATCCTACACATAGATATTTAGTAAATGTTCATTGATCAGAGAAGTGAAGGTATTGAGGAACTGTGAGATTTAAAACCACAAATTTGTGACAGCGGTTTACATACTTACAATTTTTTACTATATACCCAGCTGGTTAGAGAGGAAAGTTGAATTGTATGATTGATGCAAAATGGGAAACTATAGGTTAGGTAAGTTGGAAGAACAATTGTAGTAATTGAGGTTACGGGTGAGGGAATATCTAAATGGACCATTTTAGTTCAGGCTGGGTAGGGAAAAAATGAAATCAGCACGGAGCTGATATACTCAGACAAAATGAGAGATTTATATATTGCTGTTTTTAGTGAGTTTTAAGGAGATGCAGAGGGATTTCTGAGGTGGATTTGCTGCATTTGGCTAAGTGTAGGGCATAACAATGAAAGACAAGAGAAGAAAATCTTTATCAGAGAGGCTTTTTTGGTCTGTTTTGTTTACTGCTATATCCATGTTGTGTAGAACAATGCCAGACACAAAATAGGTGCTGCATAAATATGTTAACTAAGTAGAGGTGGGTAGGGATAATAACATCTTTTCTTTTGTAATCCCCTAGCACTTGCTGTGCATAGTACAGAGTATAGATAGTCAATATTTATGGAATGAACAGAATGTGAGTCTTGGATTTTGGATATGTTCTAAAAACCATTAAGAATGGTAGGAGCCACATTTTTGGTGGAGAGAAAAATTGGTTATTTAAGAAGGTATGAAATATGGGAAAAGTGACCTAAAGATATATAACCATCATGTTTCTCAAATTATTCTTGAAGTGGTTATCTTTAGTGCAGTTTAAATCCCAAATCACCCTTACCTCTTACTCTGTCAGTTATTTTATACTTAACAAGTATAGGTGTTTTTTTTTTCCCAAGAAATTTTTTTTTCCAATTACAAGGTAATGCATTCTTAATGCAAAAGGGAAAATCAAATAAACAAATCCTGTGAAATAGAAAAAAAATAACATATTTTTAAAAGCATATACAATCCTACCACCTGGATTAATGGCAGTTGACATTTTGGAGTATATTCTCTCCAGCTTTTTTTCTCTATTAAAACTGCTTTCAACATTAGTCTAAGAAAGAAAAATAGGTTTAAGATGTATTTGAGTCACATGAGAGATTAAAAAAAATTATTCTCATGGGTACCAGTTCTTATACTTTCACTTTAATATAAATTTAATTGAAAATTCAGGAAGAAAATTTCATTTTAATGTCTTAAAGACACCCATGTCATATAACTTTAAGATTGTATATAGTTTTGTCCTGATGAATATATTACTTGAAATCATATTTCAGTTTTTCAGAACCAGGAAAACAGTTTATAACCATTCTATTTATGTTTATCTCAGATATATTGAATTCTTGCTCTTTGCCTATTGCTGGAATCACTTAGGTTGATTAACATTCCAAGATAAGGAGAAATGATCTGTTGGTCCTAGACCTTTTTGGCTTTGTGGATGATTTAGTAGTATGGATAGTTTTTTGGAGGAGTGGTTGAAATGTTTTAAAATGGTTGATGAGAAGTAATTGTTGTCAGATGGAAAAACAGACTGGTTAAGAGTTGAGATTCATCCCAGTGATTCTTTGTGATTTGTATAGTACAGAATCTAAGGAGTTTTCCTCCCCAACATTTACAAACATACAGAAGACAGAGTTAATACAGTGAATACCCTTGTACACACCACCTAGATTTTAGAATTAAGATTTTGCTATATTTACTTTATTATAGATCTGTACATCCACACCCCATCTTTTTAAAATGCATTTCAAAGTGAGTTCATGAGTTGCAGAGTTTCCAAATCAGTTTTAAAGTCTCTCATTTTATACTTCTTTTTTCTTATTCTGAGAATCTTTGATTCTAGTGATATTTACATATTTATTTGCTTTAGCCTAGAATATCTTGATACATTGCCAAATTAAAATATCAGTAATTTGGGAGGCAGAGGTAGGTGGGTCACCTGAGGTCAGGAGTTTTGAGACCAGCCTGGCCAACATGGCGAAACCCTGTCTCTACTAGTAACAAAAATTAGCTGGGCCTGGTGGTGGGCGCCTGTAATCCCAGTGACTCGGGAGGCTGAGGCTGGAGAATCGCTTGAACCCAGGAGGCGGAGGTTGCATGGAGCCAAGATCGTGCCATTGCACTGCAGGCTGGGCAACAAGAGCAAAACTCCATCAATTAAAAAAAAAAATTATGTATTAAGAACATTGAATACTGTATGTTTTTTTGCAGTCTTTTTTTTTTTTTTTTTTAATTTTGCTTCAGTCTTTAGAATATATCCCATTAGGGATGGATATTCAAAATACTGTGTTTTAAAGTCACTTGAAGTAATTCTTTTTTCTGTATTTCTGCCACCAACTTGATATATACTAGTTTCACTTACTTAAAATTATCTTCCATTCTTAGGGACTGATTTTTAAATTTTTGTTTTAATTATATAAAACATTTACATTGTTTCAAAGTAAGACTGTTGAAGAAGGCACTTGGCCCAGGTGCGGTGGCTCACGCCTGTAATCCCAGCACTTTAAGAGGCCGAGGTGGGAGGAACACCTGAGGTCAGGAGTTCGAGACCAGCCTGGCCAATGTGGCGAAACCCCATCTCTACTAAAAATACAAAAATTAACCAGGTGTGGTGGCACGTGCCTGTAATCCCAGCTACTACTCAGGAGGCTGAGGCAGGAGAATCGCTTGAGCCTGGGAGGTGGAGGTTGCAGTGAGCCAAGATTGCTTCACTGCACTCTGGCCTGGGTGACAGCACGACTCTCTCTCAAAAAAAAAAGGAAAGAAGGCACTTCACAGAAGGTTCACGTCATCCTTTTTTTCTTCCCCCTTCAGGTAACCATTTTCATTAGTTCTTGATTTATTCTTTTGTTATTTCCTTTTGAAAATGGAAGCAAATATGCCATCGAAAACTTTGAAGAGGTATCACAAATAGCTGATGACACTAGTTGGCTGTAAGTAGAGGAAGTGGTTAAATGGGGATGGGAGTGAAAGGAAACTTGAAACATTTTTGTTGCTTTTGAATTTTTTTATTTTATCTATTTTGTTTGCTCTTTTTTTTTTGAGAGGTTTAGTATATTTTTACATTGAGAGAGGTACATTTATACTAATACCTATAGTCCCCTCCTTTTAAGGTACTCTTGTATTGTGAGCAATAATGAAATTAGCTAGTAACCTCTTCAGCACCTTTTCTTCCCTTTCCCCAGTGTCTGTGGGTTTTTTGCACTTAAAATGTATTATTGATTAATGTGCAGTAAAATACATTTTTTTCAGTGTATAGTTGTGAGTTTTGACAAATAGAATTACATAACAACCACAACTAAAATTACATAACAACCACGCCAAACTCTCTCTTGTTGCCCCTTTATCTCAAACCCTCCTCCCACCCCCAACTCCTCACAACCACTGATCTGTCTTCTGTCCCTATAGTTTTGCCTTTTGAAGCCAGAATGTTATATAAATGTAACCTTTTGAAAATGGCTATTTTGTAATCACTTAGCATGATGCATGTGATACTCATCCAGGTAGTTGAGTGTATCAGTAGGTCATTGCTTTTTCTGTAAATTCTCTTTTTTGTTAATTGTTTTATATCTATATTTTATGAGCATATAACATTTGCATACACTATACTGTTATCTTTATTCTGATCACTTAGTGTTAATTTTAAATTATATTCAATACTCATCATCAGACCTTATCCCAAAGATACTTCGAGGATTTTTTGGTTATCTGAAGCTCACATTCTACAAGTGAGCTCATGGGAACAATATTCTTTTAAGTCCTTTTGGTTCAAACTATTTGCTTGTGACCATTATACTCATTATATTTGAAGCTTTGATTGTATGTAAAATCCCTGGCTCATGTTTTCTTTCTTTCTTTTTTTTTTTTTTCCGAGACAGACTCTCACTTAGTTGCCCAGGTTGGAGGGCTGTGGCACAATCATGGCTCACTGCAGCCTCAACCTCCTGGGGCCAAGCGATCCTCCCGCCTCAGCCTCCTGAGTAGCTGGGAGTACAGGTGCGCACCACTATGCTCAGCTAACTTTATTTTTTATTTTTATTTTTATTTTTGTTGGGACAGGGTCCCATTGTGTTGCTCAGGCTTGTCTTGAACTCCTGGGCTCAAGTGATGATCTTCCCACCTCAGCTTCCCAAAGTGCTGGGATTACACGCATGAACCACTGTACCCAGCCATGTTTTTTTATGAGCTCCATGGACATTTTCAAAGTCTTCAGACATTTTTTTCTTACAAGAAATTTGGTCATTTGCCTGTTACCTGAAAGATTTTTCTTTTTCTTTAAAGAACCATTACTTGACTATGTCTTGGTGTTGATCTTGGTATGGTCTTAAGAGTAGGTTCAAGTGTTTTATTTCAGAAAAGTTTTTTCGTATGATGGTTTTCAGTATTTGTTCTGTTCCATTACATGGGTTTGTTTTTTAGGGACTCTAATTATGAATGTATGTTGGGTCTTCTTTGACTAACTTCTTCTATTATTTTGTTTTTTTGAAGAGTTTTTTGGTAAAAACTGGAAAACCTGCCAGAGAAATTCTAAAGGATCTGTAACACTTGACTAACTTCGTTATTTTAAAAATTTCCTCCATTCTCTTTCCTCTTTTCTTGTGGGGTCTTTTACTTTGTGTTCCAATTAGCTTGTCTTTATTTCTGAAATAATTTTCCTTTTTTTCCTTGTAATTCTTAAGTAAATAAGAACACTATTTTTTGACCGATTTATATTAAAAATTGGAGACTTCCTGTGAACAAGTCTTGAACATCCAGTGTAATTTTTAAGTTATAGCACTTGTGAAGAGAAATATTATTGAAAAACAAAACAGTAAAACGCATCTCAGTCTCCATAGTTTTATAGGTACATCTCATTTGGTACAAGTAGAACCTGTAATGTTTATAGAATTGAAATGTAAATCAGTTTCTTCTGAACTTATTTGTGTGATTTAAAGTTGCTACTTTTTATTTATTAATCTTATAGGGATATGTTGAAAAACAAGATTTTAAATATGGATTAAAATATAAATAATTTTATTAACCAAAAATGTCAGTTTATTGGAAACATAAACAATTTTGTGTCTGTTGGGTGAAAAGTAGAATATGTTGTTTTATGCATATGATAGATTATTTTCCTTAACATTTAACAGTTTAACAAGTTATTTTGTGTTTTGTTGTTGTTGTAGTAGTTAACTACAGATGGAATTATTCGACAAAGAATCGTCAGAGGAACTCTCAAACTAATAGGCTTTTCTTGTTTTTAGAGCCTTATTGTCTTAATTATTAAAAGGCAGGATAAATGAATAGGTACTTTGAAGGCCATCTTAGTAAATATAGCCAGGCCTTAATTTTAGGTATTGTATATTTATATTTTTATAGCTCTTCGAGAGGTAATGGGAGAAAGATGCAGCTGAAGAAAGATGCAGCTTGGTGTATATTATTGTGAACTTTCCGAAGGCAAGAAAGAATTTCTGTTTTTCATGATTCTTTATGCTTTGGGAAGAATGTGGTAGAGAAGGTGCAGTGTAGAGAGAGATAAGTAGCTGCTTTACTGTCAGCATAGAATTAGAATTGGAACAAATTTTTTTTTTAATCACAGCAGAATGTTCTAGGTTTGAAAAAAGGATTTCTGTTTTCTGTTACTTTAGTTTTAAGTTTCTTACCTCAGTTCCATTGGTGCAGATAATCATCTGGTGATTAATATTTCACTTTGCAATATTTTGAGCATGCATATACTTAAATTTATTTTGTATATTAATAGTGGCTATTCTAAGAATGTAGGTGTTGGATACGGTGTGGTAAAGTCTGGGTAGCTGCAGGGGGATATGAGAATAAGGCTTAGAAGGAAGAATTTTATTATACTCACAGGTCTCAGGGAGGGTCACTGCATGCTACACAGGGGAAGCACCAGGTTTTAGTCAGGAAGCAGAAGACAGGAGCCACGGAAAAGTCCAGGCCAGAGTATTGGGATTTCCTGGGAAAGGCAAGGGAGGGCAGAGTAAACAGTTGAGGATTGAAGAGTTTGGATGATTCCTCCAGGCTTTGAGCTGTAGAGGTGGTCTCTAATTGCCTGGTACCTGACTCTGGAATGATTTAGGGCAGGAAATACTGGCTTCGTATGTGAGCGTTAGATAAGGAGGTGGATTTGGCTGTAGACTCAGGATTGGTTGGTTTGTATATGGAAGACATGCTCCTGTGAGCCCTCTTATCTCTAAGAAAGCACTAGCCCTGGCCAGCAAGCTTTTAAAAAGCCAAAACATAATAAAATATAGTAAATAAGAAACATGTTTTAAATGCAGTGGCCAGCTGAAGTTCTGTTTACCTTGTCAAATAATTTCTGTGTTAATAATCTTTGAGAACCATAGCTTTCTCAACAATTGCTTTCCTTTTGGTTCTTTATTATTTTTTATAAGTTCTCATTTCTTTTAGATAGTGATTGCCTTTTCTAAACACTGAAATACGTCTCAAGTATGTAACCTGATTGAAATATTTTCACAGGAGCATCTGTAATTGTTTTTTGTTTGTTTTTTGAGATAAGATCTCACTCTGTTGCCCAGGCTGGAGTACAGTGACGTGATCACTGTTCACTGCAGCCTTGAACTCCTGGACTTAGTGATCCTCCCACCTCAGCTTCTTGAGTAGCTGGCACTGCAGGCACATACCACTATGCCTGGCTAATTTTTTATATTTTATGTAGAGACGGGGTTTTGCCTTGTTGCCCAGACCAGTTTCAAACTGTTGGGTTCAAGTGATCCACCCACCTCAGCCTCCTAAAGTGCTGGGATTATAGGCTTGAGCCACCACACCTGGCCTGCAGTTGTTGCTGGAATGTTTTTGGTTTGATTTTATAACACTACTATGTGAATCACCAGTTGGTATATATCACTTTTAATATTATTTCACTTATGATGGTTGAAAGATGTTAAAGTTTGTTCTTTTACATGAGAAAAAAATGGGTATATGTTCATAAGCTTAAATGTTTAAGATTGGTAACTTGTGAATTATAGACAAGTGCCCTGAGTTTCTTAATATAAATAGATATACGTATACTAGTGTATCTTGCTGTAGTAACTAACTTTTGGTGCTCTTAAGTCTTATTATATTCATAATGCCATTTGGCAGAAATAAAACATTTTATTTCAAAGGTATTAAGTAATTTTTAGGTCTTGTAAGATAAAAAAAAGATCCCTCTTACTGTGTCAGTAACTTATATACATGAATAAACTATTCAGAATTCGAAATTTTAAAATTTGAGTCTTCCTGTCCATGAACATAGGCTATTTTTCTATTTATTTAGCTTTTCTTTGAGTATTTCAGCAGTTTTATAGTTTTTATGGTATCAATTTTGTCAATATTTGTTAGATTTATGCCTAATTATTTCCTTTTTGTTGGTGCTAATATAAGTGGTATTGTGTGTTTAAAATTCCAGTTCATTGCTGGTGCGTAGGAAATTGACTTCTGCATATTAACCTTGTATCCTGCCACCTTGCTATGATTGCTTATTTTTTCCAAGAGGTTTTTTTCTGTCAATTCTTTGATGTTGTCTGCATAAACAATCTTTTCAGCTACAAAAGTAGGTTTATTTTTTCTTTCTCAATCTATATACCTTTTATTTCCTTTTCTTGTCTCATTGCATTAGCTAGGACTTCCCCTATGATGTTGAATAAGAGCCGTAAAAGGAAATACCTCTGCCTTTTTCCTGGTCTTAAAGAGAAAGTGTCTAGTTTTAGCCATTAAGTATGATACTAATTGTAGGTTTTTTGTAGATGTTCTTTATTAAGTTGAGGAAGCTCCCCCTCTATTCCTAGTTTACTGAGAGTTTTTATCAAGAATGGTGTTGGATTTTGTCAGATGCGTTTTCTGCATCTATTGGTCTGATCACGTGATTTTTCTTCTTTAGTTTCTTGATGTGATTGATTACATTGTTTTTTTTGAATGTTGAGCCAGCCTTGCATACCTGGGATAAATCCCACTTAGTCTTGGTGTATAGTTCTTTTTTTAAAATTTTAATTTAATTTATTTATTTTAATATCCAGACTTCAAGGAGGTATAGTTCTTGTATACCTTGTTGGATTTGATTTGCTAATACTTTATTGAGGATATTTGCATCTGTGTTCATAAGAGATATTTGTCTGCAGTTTTCCCTTCTTGTAATGTCTTTATTTGGTTTTGGCATTAGGGTAATGCTAGACTCAGAATGACTTAGAAAGTGTACCCTCTGAGTGTATTTTCTGGAAAAGATTGGAGACAGTTGTGTTATTTCTTCCTTACATGTTTGGTTGGAATTACCCTGAAGCCATCTGGGCCCAGTGTTTGTTTTTTTTGGAAGGTTATTAATTGTTACTATTATTTTTTTCTGAGTATATGTTTTTATTTAGCTTTTACAAACAATAACCACAATAAAAAAAAATAATGAATGCAGATAACTTTTGAACACAATATATCGTACACCCTTATTGGATATATTCTGAGGACAAACATTATGCAACAAATATTCTTGAATTTTATTTAATAGATTTATTATGGGTGTGCTTTCTACTCTTGGGTATCATTGCTTCTAGGCTCTTTCAATGGATGGAGTTTATTTTGACACTACAATTCGATCTAGTTACCAGAGTTCTTCCTCTTCTTTCTCATTTCTGTAAAGGTTATTAATTATTGATTTAATTTTTTAATCTATAGAGGCATATTCAGATTTTCATTTTCTCCTTGTGTGTTTTGATAAATTATATCTTTCAGGGAATTGCCTTGAAATCCATTTCATCTAAATAATCAAATTTGTGGGCATAAAGTTAGTTATAAATGTTTCTTTAATACTTTTTTAATGTCTGGGATCAGTATTGATATTATTACTGATAATAATAGTTTCTTATGTCTTTGATTTTGGTATTAATAATTTGTGTTTTTTTTTTGTTGGTTATCCTGGCTAGAGGTTTATCAATTTTACTGATCTTTTCAAAGAACTGGCTTTTAATTTTGTTGATTTTTATTTTATTTTATTTTATTTTTTAAAATTTCATTGCTATCTCTATTTCTCATTTCTTCTTCTTTCTCTAGGTTTGTATTTATTGCTCCAGTTTCCTAAGGCGGAAAGTTAAATCATTGATTTTTAGATCACCATTACATTCAGTGCTATAAATTTCTCTGTAGGCACTGCTTTCACTGCATCCCACAAATTTTGATAAGTTGTTTTCATTTAGTTGAAAATAGTTTTAAATTTCTCTTTAGACTTCTTTGATGTGTTATTTTAAAATGTGTTGTTTAATCTCCAGATATTTGGGGATTTTCCAGCTATCTTTCTTTTGTTGATTTCTAGTTTAATTCTATTAAAGTCTGAGAGCATAGTTTGTATGACTTTAGTTAAGGCATGTCTTTCTTATGTCCCAGAATGTGTTCTGTTTTGGTGAATGTTTTTGTGAGCTTAAGAAGAATATGTATTATGCGGTTATTGGATAAAGTATACTATAAATGTCAATGAAATCCAGTTGATGGATGATACTTTTCAGTTTGACTATATGTTTACTGGTTTTCTGCCTGCTGTGTCTGCCAGTTGTTGATATAGGGGTGTTGATGTCTTCAGTTATAGCTGTGGAGTTAACTGCTGCTTCTCGTAGCTCTATCAGTTTTTGTCTCACATCTTTTGACACTTTGTTGTTAGGCTCAGACACATTAAGTGTGGCTGACTGCCACAGTTACTACTTGAGACTGTCACTGAGACAGTTATTACTGTTACTACTTGAGACCATCATTATGAGACTGAATCAAGGGGGACAGACATAGAAATGAAAACTTAAGACAAAGGTAACTACTTTAAAGTAAGGGTAACATGGGGAAGGAGAAGAGAAGAAGAAAAGGGCTCCCTGCTTTTAGTGAGCAAAGGCAGCTGCCTAAGACTCTACAGCCCTTAATATGTATTGGGTAGAAAGAGCAGCAGGAGGAGGTAATGATTGGTCAGCTGCTGGATTGATCACAGGTTCACATTATTGCTAACAGGTTTCAGTTATGCCTAATCAGAAGAAACACTTGTGCCTGGGTGGTGGCTGCCCTCAGCATTCCTTCTGGGCAACAGACACAGTTTGTCAGTTTGCCGACATCCTGCTTTTATGAGAAACAGTTTGCTGTTTGCACATATAGCCTCCAGTACTATACTGAGTTGATCACGACCCTTGACAATTAAGGATTGTTATATCTTGTTTGATAATTGATCCTTGATCATTATGTACTATTCCTGTTTTTCTCCGATAATTTTCCTTGTTCTGAATTCTGCTTTGTTAGAAATTAATATAACTAGTCCAGCTGCCTTTTGATCAGTGTTGGCATTGTATGTATTTCTCCATCCCTTTAACCTATCTGTGTCTTTATATTTAGAGTGAGTTTCTTGTAGACAACATATATTTGGGTCTTTTTGTTCACTCTTGTCAGTTCTGTCTTTTAATTGGTATATTTAGATGATTCACATTGAAAGTATTGTTAAAGTTGGGTTTTAGTGTCTACCATATTTGTTTCTTACTCATTATACTTGTTCCTTGTTGCTTATTTTAAAATGTACTTTTTTTTTTTTTTTGAGACAAGGTCTCCCTCTGTCACCCAGGCTGGAGTGCAGTGGCGGGATCTCAGCTCACTGCAGCCTTGACTTCCTGGACTCAAGTGATTCTCCCACTTCAGGTTCCCAAGTGGCTAGAACTACAAGGGCACACCACCACACCTGGCTAATTTTTTGTATTCTTTATAGAGATGGGATTTTGCCATGTAGGCCAGGCTGGTCTTGAACTCCTGGGCTCAAGTGATCCTCCTGCCTCGGCCTTCTGAAGGGATTACAGGCATGAGCTACGTGCCTAGCCCATTGTCTGATTTTAATTGAGCATTGTATATTATTCCATTTTTCTTTTCTGTATAAAATACTAATTGTACTTCTTTAAAAAAGATTTTTTGGTAGTTTCCCTTAGAGCTCATCTAAGTTCATTTTTAAATACCATTTACACTGCTTCACACATAGTGCAGGTACCTTATAACAGAATATAACCAACTCCTCCCTCCTGTCCCTTATAGCATTGCTGTTATTCATTTCACTTATCCATAGTCAGCAGTTACCCAAGATATTGTTACTATTTTGAATACTTATCTATGTGATCAATTAAGATTAAGAAAAATAAAAGAGTGTATCTTCATTTATTCCTTCTTGGACTCTCCCTTTCTTCATAAGGATTCTATTTTCTCACCTATATCATTTTCCTTTTCTCTGAAGAACGTGTAACATTTCTTGCAAGGCAAGTTTGTGGGCCACAAGTTCCCTCTATTTTTGTTTGTCTGAGAAAGTCTTTATTTTTCTTTCACTTCTGAGGGATAATTTCTCTGGATGCTAAATCCTAGCTTGGTGGGGTTTTTTCCCAACACTTAAATATTTCACTCCACTCTCTTCTTGCTTACATGATTTCTGAAGAGAAATCTGATATAATTCTTGCCCTTCTTTTATATAGAGTGAGTGTTTTGTTTTGTTTTTTCCTGATTTCTTTCAAGACCTACTCTTTGTCTTTGACCTAGGTTTGAAGATGAGGTGTTGATGTTTTGATGTTTATCCTGTTTAGTGTTTTCTGAGCTTTCTGGATTTGGGGTTTGGGGGATCTGTCATTAATTTTGGAAAATCATCAACCATCATTACTTCAAATACTTCATTTTCTTTGTTTCTTCTCCTTCTAGCATTACTATTATGAATATTTTTCACCTTTTATAGTTGTCCTCCATTCTCAAATACCATGTTCCAGTTTTTTTTCAAGCTCACTGATTGTTGTTTTTTTTAGTCTGCTGATTGCTCGTCAAAGGCATTCTTTATTTGTGTTAATGCTTTTTATTTCTAGCATTTTGTTTTGATTCTTTCTTATAGCCCTTAGCATTTTAATGAGTTATTTAAAATGTCCAGTTTGATCATTCAAAATCTACCTTATCTGAGTTTGGTTTCGATGCTTGCTTTGTCTCTTCAGACCTTTTCCTTGCCTGTTACATGCCTTGCAATTTTTTGTTGAAATCTGGACATGGCTTATTGAGTAGTAGAAACTCAGGTAAACAGGTGTTTAATGTGAGATTTTAGGTTTATCTGGCTGGGAGTTAGGCTGTGTTTAATGTTCACTAGGTATTTATATTGTTTGTAGGTATAAGACATTTCATTTTCCTCTACTTTCCTGGTTTTTGTCTTGTTTTGAGTTTCCTTAGAAACTTTTATTAATTAAAAAAAGTCTATTTCTTGTAATTTTCTCAGTTGTAATCTGTTATATTGGAGCCCTGTTTAGTAGAGAGGAGAAGTGTTCTATAATCATATGATGAAATCTGTTGGGTTTTTTAGTGGACCAGAGTTCCTGAACGGACCTTCAAAAGAATTTCTTAAGCTTTTTTCTTCCCTCCTCTCAGGCAGGTTAGAGGGGGCTGGAATTATTGCTCTTACTCTAGGTCAGATTTCAAAATGGTTACTTTTCCCTTTTCCCTACTCAAAATGGAGGGATTTTACTCTAATAAAAACCAGGTGGAGCTCCTTTTCTCACCTATATTCTTCCTTAAGACTGAGCCCTCACAAGTTAAAGCTCAAGTTAGTTCACTCTCAGTCTCCAGCAGTTTGCTACTTACTTTTAAAGTGTTCCTTCCAGTTATTGGCTTTAGAGTAAATATAGCTCCATATGTCTATATTCACATGTTTCTTCAGTTTTTCTGGAGGTGTTGTGACCTGTGAACTCAGTTTTCCAGTGCTTCTAAGAGTAGTTGATTTTCAGTTGTTCTGCTTTTTTTCTTGTGAGGATGGGAGTGATGATTTCCAAGCTGTTTACGTAATAGAGTGGAACAAAGTTGTCATCTTTATTTTTTTAATGAGAGTTGTATTGAGATGTATAATTCATGTACATATTCACCCTTTAAAAATGCACAATTTGGTAATTTTTACTATATTCACAGAGTTATGCAACCCTTACTATTTAATTTTTAAACATTTTTGTCACCTGAAAAAGGAACCCCAAAACACTCACTCCTCCCAGTTCCAGGCAGCAACTAACTATTTTGTTTTTATGGATTTACTTATTCTGGACATTTCATATAAATGGAATTATACAAAATGTGACCTCTCGTTTCTGACTTCTTTATCTTAACATGTTTTAAAGGTTAATGTTTTAAAGGTTGATTTATGCTGTATCATATATCAATACTCCATTCCTTTTTGTTGCCAAATTAATATTCCATTGTATTAATATATCACATTTTGTTTATCCATTGGTTGGTGGAAACACTTTTTGACTGTTAAGAATATTGCTGTTATGAAGAATTGTGTAACATAGTATGGCTATGTGTTTTCATTTTTATTGCAGAAAATGGGAGTGTAATTTCTGGGTCATAGATACCCTATGATTAACTTTTTGAGGAGCTGCCAGACGGTTTTCCAAAGTGGCTGTACCATTTTACTTACTACCAGCTATGATAGTTGCAGTTTCTCCACATTCTTGTCAACACATATCTTCTTGATTCTAGCCATCCTAGTGTATGTAAAATGAGAGCTCATAGTGTCTTTTGATTTGCATCTCTAATTACTAATGATTAACATAGTTTTACTTGCTTATTGGACATTTATACATCTTTGAAGAAATGTCTATTCAGATCCTTTGCCCATTGTTTTAGTAGGGTTTTCCTTTTATTGAGCTGTAAGAGTTCTTTATATATACTGTAAAAAGTTACCCTATCAGATATATGATTTGCATATATTGTCTGCCATTCTGTGAATTGTCTTTTAGTTTCCTTGACAGTATCCTTTAAATCACAAAAATTTTAAATTTTATGGAGTCTAGTTTGTCTACTTTTTTTTTTTTTTTTTTTTCTAAGATGGAATTTTGCTCTGTCTCCCAGGCTGGAGTGCAGTGGTATGATCTTGGCTAACTGCAAGCTCCACCTCCCGGGTTCACACCATTCTCCTGCCTCAGCCTCCCAAGTAGCTGGGACTACAGGCGCCCACCACCACGCCCGTCTAATTTTGTTTTTGTATTTTTGGTAGAGACGGGGTTTCACCGTGTTAGCCAGGATGGTCTCGATCTCCTGACCTCGTGATCTGCCTGCCTCAGCCTCCCAAAGTGCTGGGATTACAGGCATGAGCCACCACACCTGGCCTAGTTTGTCTATTTTTTCTTGTGTTTCTTCTGCTTCTGATGTCATATCTAAGAGACCATTGTCTTAAGCCACTATCAGAAAGACTTACATCTGTGTTTTCATCTAAGAGTTTCATAGTTTTAGCTCTTCAGTTAGCTCTCTAATCCATTTTGTGTTAATTTTTATATATGGTGTGAGATAGGGATCCAGCTACATTCTTTTTGAAAATATTTTTTTATTTTTGAGACAGAATCTTAATCTGTCACCCAGGCCAGAGTGCAGTGGCACAATCTGAGTTCACTGCAACCTCCGCCTCCCAGGCTCAAGCAATTCTAATGCCTCAGCCTCCCGAGAAGCTGGGACTACAGGCATGTGCCACTGCACCTGGCTAATTTTTGTATTTTTAGTACAGATGGGCTTTTGCTATGTCGGCTAGGCTGGTCTTGAACTCCTGACTTGAAGTGATCCACCCACCACCTTGGCCTTTCAAAGCGCGGGGATTATAGACTTGAGCCACTGTGCCCGACCTCAGCTGCATTCATTTGCATTTGTATGTTTTCCCAGTACCATTTGTTGAAAAAAAAAAAACCAGTTCTTTCCCCACTGGATTGTTTTTTCCTGCTTGTCAAAAATCAATTCATCTACCAGATGCTGTGGCTCACACCTGTAATCCCAACACTTTGGGAGGCCAAGGTGGACAGTATTGCTTGAGCCCAGGAGTTTGAGACTAGCCTGGGCAACATGGAGAAACCCTGTCTGTACAAAAAATGCGAAAAAAAGTTAGCCAGGCATGGTGGCATGCAACTGTAGTCCCAGCTACTCGGGGGCTGAGGTGTGAGGATCACCTAATCGGGAGAAAAAAGGCTGCAGTAAGCTGTGGTCATGCCACTGCACTGCAGCCTGGTTAAAGTGAGACCTTACTTGTCGCAAAACAACAACAATAACAAAATTAATTGATCGTGAATACAAGAGTTTCTGAAATCTCAATTCTATGGCATTGATCTCTATGTCTGTTTTTAAGCCAGCAACACATTCTCTTGGTTACTGTAGCTTTTTATTGAGTTTTAAAATTGGAATGTGTGAGTCTTCCAACTTTTTTGTTCTTTTTCAAGATTATTTTGGCTCTACTGGGCCCTTGCATTTGTGTATGATTTCAGGATCAGTTTGTCAATTTCTGCAGCAAAGCAAGTTAGGATTTTGATAGGGTTTGTGTTGAATCTCTAGATTAATTTGGGGAGTATTGCTATTTTAACAGCATTTAGTCTTCAAATCCATGAATATGGCATGGGGAGTCTTTCCATTTACTTAGCAGTTCTTTCATTTTTTCAACAATGTCGTTTTTAGTGTTCAGATTTCACACTTCTTTTGTTATATTTATTCCTAAGTATTCTTTTTTTTTATTCTGTTCCAAATGAAAGTATTTTCTTAAATTCATTTTCAAATTATTTCTAGTGTGTAGAAATACAACTGATTTTTGCATATTAATCTTGTATCTTGTAGTCTTGTTGAACTTGATTACTTTTAATAATTTTGGGGGAGGAGATTCTTTAGGATTTTCTATATACAAAATTGTGCCATCTGTCAATAGAGGATGCTTATTTCTTGCTTTCTGATCTGATGGCTTTTATGTCTTTTTCTTGCCCTCTTGCCCAGGGTAGAAGTTTCAGTACTATGTTGAATAGAAGTGGTGAGAGAAGACATCCTTTTTTTTGTCCCTAATCTTAAGGTCAAAGTATTCAGTCTTTTACCACTAAGTATGCTGTTAGCTGGGGATTTTTCATAGATGTTCTTTATCAGTGTGAGGAAGTTTCCTTCTGTTTCAAGCTTGCTGAGTCATGATTTTTCATGATTTTTTTTAAATCGTGAAAGGGTGATGAGTTTTGTGAAATTCTTTTTCTATGCCTGTTGAGATGATTATATGGATTTTGTTCTTTATTTTCTTAATATATTACATTGATTGATTTTTGTTTGTTAAACGAACTTCATGTTTTTGGGATATAAATCCCATTTGGTCATGATTTATAATCTTTTTTATGTGTTGCTGGATTTGATTTCCTAGTAATTTGTTGAGGATTTTTGCATTTGTATTAATGAAGGATATTTTTTCTGTAGTTTTTTTGTGATGCCTTTATCTAGTTTTGGTAACAAGATAGTACTGGCTTTGTAGAATGAGTTAGGAAGTATTTCTAGCTTTTTTGGAAGAGTCTGGGAAAGATTAATGTTAATTTTTATGTTTGGTAGATTTCCCCAGTGAAGCCATCTGAGCACGGGCTTGTCTTTGTGTTTTAAAATTACTATGCAGTTTCAGTAGTTTGTGTCTTTCTAGGAATTTGTCCATTTAAAGGAGGTTATGTAATTCATTGTTCATAGTATTTAATAATTGTTTTCTTATGATCCTTTTTAGTTTAGTAGTAATACTCTTGTAATTCCTGATGTTTAGTAATTTGAGTCTTCTTTTATTTTTCTTGCTTAGTAGAACCTACTTTTGAATTTGTTGATTCTATTGTTTTTCTAGTCTCTCCTCTTATTTCTCCCCTAATCTTTATAATTCCTTTTCTGCTACCTGCTTTGGGTTTAGTTCATTCTTAATGGTAGAAATTGGATTACTAATTAGAGATCTTTCTTTTTTATTTAATTTTAATTTTTGACAACAGTAACAAAAAATGTGTTGCGTAAGAATGGGGATACGTTCTGAAGAATGTGTGGTTAGGTGATTTTGTCATTGTAGGAATATCATAGAATGTACTTACACAAACCTAAATGGTATAGACCATACCACATGGCTTATTAAACACCTAGGCCATGTTGTGTGGTCTATTGCTCTGCTCCTAGGCTACAAAACTGAATAGCTTGTTATTGTGTTACAATAGGGAATTGTAACACAATGGTTTTGTGTATCTAAATACATCACATAGGAAAGATACAGTAAAAATGTGTGGTATAAAAGATTTAAAATGGCACACTTGTATAGAACAGCTCCATTATAATCTTATAGGACTATTGTTGTACATGCGGTCTGTTGTTGACCGAAACATTTGTTATGTGGAACATCACTGTAAATAGGTTTTTAAAAGTGTTTCTTGCATTGCCAGCATGTGATACATATACTAACTTAATCAAGAATGTAATAGATCAAAGATGCATTAAAATCTTAATAAGGTAGTCATTAATATACTGCCAAAAGGTATAGCAGAAAACTAATAATGGCCATAAAACAAAAATAAGAATTAAAAAGAACACAGAAAAAGATGGAGAGAACAGATGGACAGATAGCAAGATAGTAGGCTTAAGCCTATCAATAATAGGAATTAAACTAGAATGCTGTTAGTCTCCATTGTATGTTAGGCACAAACATTACTTACATAACTGTTAATAAATGCATAATTTGTGATGATCTACGTTGACATATTGATCTGAAAAATCTTCATGTTCATTGCTCTTGGTAAACACATAGTACCACAATAATAAATTTCTTGTTCACATAAATTTTGCCTGTCCCTCACTGTTGGATTGAGTTTGTTTTTATATGTCAGATAGCCTTTATATATCTACCAGCTATTCAGTTTACTGTGTGTCATGAGCCACACCCAGCCACAACTGGTATTACAAATTTCCCTTTGTCAGATAACCCTCCTTTCATCACTTCACAGTAACTCACAAGTGGTAACTCTTATGACACCCATTTCCCAGGCATAAACTTAGGTGTTTTTCAAGGTAAAATACTCACTTTCTTGTAGTATTTATTCCATAACAATTTTTTGTTGTTGTTGTTGTTTTGAGACAAGGCCTCTGTCACCCAGACTGGAGTGCAGTAGTACCATCATGTCTTACTGCAGCCTCGACCTCTCAGGCTCAAGTGATCCTCCCGAGTAGCTGGGACTACAGGCAATGCACCACCCTGCCAATCTTTTTTTTTTTTTTTTTTTTTTTTTTTTGGAGAGACGGGGTCCCAGGCTGGTCTTGAACTCCTGGACTCAAGCGCTTCTCTCACCATGGCCTCCCAGTTTTGTTTTCCTTTGGGATTACAGGCATGAGCCACTGTGCCTGGCCTATTCCTTAATAATTTAATTGGTGTAAAATTGTTTTTATTGGGTTCTTATCTTTTCAAAAATGTGTTACTGACATTTTTGCATGCTGTGCTTCCAATCCCATTTCCTTCGTAAACCTTGTAGCTTTTATTGCATGATTTTGTATAATGTGGTTTTTTTGAAACTCGTATGTCATGATATAGCGGACCTGACTATAATTATTTTATAAGGTATCTCTTTATTCCTCTTTTCATCAGTTGATCCGTCTTAGTCTTTGATACATTTCAGTGTAGGTATACTTCCCTCCTAATCACTACAGCATGTATATATCATTAACTAGAGTTTGATGTCAGCTTACTTCTCTTTTTGTGTGTGTGTGTGTGGTACAGTTTACATTTGGTGAAATGCACACATCTTAAGTGTACTCTTTGATAAGTTTTGCAGATGTGTATGCCCATGAAATACAAACCTCTATCAAAGTATAGAACATCATCATTCTCAGAAATGTTCCCTCATGCTCCTTCCTAGTTAGGCCCTTGAGCCACCCTTTCAGAGGCAGCCACTGTTTTGACTTGTTTACTACCTTAGATTGATTTTTCTTGTTGCAAAATTTCATATAAAAGGAATTATATGACATATGCTCTTCTTGTATGTAAAGCTTCCTTGAGTCAGCATGACATTTTGAGATTGATCCATTTGTGTTTATCAGTAATTGTATTTTTGTTTTTGTTGCTGAGTAGAATATACCACAATTTGTATATCTGTTCGCTTGTTGATGGATAGCCAGGCTGTTTCAAGTTTTTCACTGTTGTGAAGAAATCTGCCATGAACCTATTTGTACAAATTTTTTTGGTAGACACATCTTCATTTTTCTTATGAGTGGTATTGCTGGGTCGTAGGGTAGGCAGGTGTTCAGTCCTATGAGCAACTGCCAGCCTTTGTTTCAGAGGTTTTATTGTTTTAAATTCCCACCAAAAACATATGAAAGTTCCTGTTGTGCCATATGCTTGGCAACACTGATCTTGTTGGTTTTATAAATTTTAATTATTCTGGCAGGTATGCAGTTGTATCTCAGTGTGGTTTTAATTTGCATTTTCCTGATGACTGACAATTTGGAGCACTTTTTCATGTACTCCTTGGCTGTTTGCAGTATCTTATTTTGTGAAATATCTATTCAGACCTTTTGTTCATTTTTGAAAATTGGATCATCTATGTCTTTTGTTAAGTTTTAAATTTTGCTAAAGTTTTATTTATGAGTTTACTCTTTTATGGGTCTTCCTTTTTGTGTCCTAATAAATCTTTGCTTTATCCTCAAGTCATTAAGATAGTTTTACATGTTTTCTTATAGAACCTTTATAGTTTTTAACATTTATATTTAGGACTGTGATTCATCTTCATTTGATTTTTGTGTATTGTGTGAGATAGAGATTAAGGCTTACTTTTTTCCACATGGATGTCAGTTATCTTTTTACTATTTGTTCAAAAGACTTTCCATCCTCTTTTGGACTGTCTAGGCACTTTTGTAAAATATTAAATGACTATAAATGTGGGTCTCTTTGTTAGACTCCTTAATCTGTTGCATTGATCTATTTGTTGATCCTTAAGCCAGTACCATACTGTTTAGATTACTCAGCCCATGCTATGTTTTGAAGTCAGATTGTGTAACTTCTACAGCTTTCCAAGCTTTTTTGGGATGTTTTAGATCCTTCACATTTCCATATACATTTTACTTATTTAATTTAAATTTTTTATAGCTGCATAATAGGTGTCCATGTTTTGGGGGTACAGTGATAATACATTCATATAATTGTAAAGATCAAATCAGTGTATTGGGGGTATCTGTTACCTTAAATATTTGTCTTTATGCTGGAAACATTTGAATTACTCTCTTCTAGCTATTTTGAAATGTGCAATAGAATATTGTGAACTATAGTCATCTTACTGATCTAACACTAGGTCTTATTTCTTCTATTAAGCTGTGTATGTACATTCATTAATCAGCTTCTATATACACTTTAGAATCAGCTTTTCAGATTAAAAAAAAAGAAAAGCCTATTGTGGTTATGCTTTGGATTGTGTTGACTCTGTGATCAGTTTGAAGAGAATTGCAGTTGAGGTGCCCAATTCGTAGACATGATATGTTTTGCCATTTATTTACGTCTTTTAAGATTTCCCAAAGTGATGTTTGGTAATTTTTAGTAGAGAGGGCTGCATGGCTTTTGTTCGATGTTTTATGTTTTCTGATGCTGTTGTAGATAGAATTGGTTTTTTAAATTTTGTTTTTCTAGTATTTGCTGCCAAATACAGTGGACTTTGTATATTAACTTTGTATCCTGCAACCTTCCTAAATTCACTTATTGCAGTTATTTTGTAGATTCCTTAGGATTTTCTTTATAAACAGTCATATCATCTGTACATAGAGCCAGCTTTATTTCTTTTTGATTTTTATGCATTTTATTTCTCTTTTTTGCCTTGTTGAAATGGCTAGGATTTGTAGTATGGTGTTGAATACGAGTGGTGAGCACTGGCCTTCTTGCTTTTTTGTTGGTCCTTGGAGAATAGTGTTCAGTATTTCACTATTAAGCATGTAAGTTGTAGAGTTTTTGTAGGTACAGGTTGAGGAAGTTCCCTTGTTAGTTTGCCAAGTGTATTTATTTTGAATGGTGTTAAATTGTATCAGGTGTTTTCACTGCAGCTATTTCATGATAGGAATTTTCCCCTAGTATAGAAAAATACATTGATTGGTTTTGAATGTTAAACCAATCTTTTGTTCTTGGGTTAAACACTATCTAGTAATCATATGTTATCGTTTTGATACATTATTAGAATTTCTTTTTATTTACTGACCTTTATGTCTCTGCTATTTTTAGCCATTCTAGATTTTGTGTATCTTTTTTCATAACCTGTTGAGAATTAATATTGAACCATTTTATGTAAAATATAGAAACTTGCATTTCTACATTTATCACTTCCTCCTGTCCTTGCTGTAATTGTCATATGTATTACATCTATGGTATGTTATAAACTACACAATACATGTTACCATTTTTGCTTTAAAGAGTCGTGTTTTAGGAAAATTAAGAGCATTTTTTTAAGTGTAGGTTTGCTAGCAACACATTATGTTTTTCTTTTATCTGAAAATGTGTTTGTTTCACTTTTATTCTTAAGAATATTTCTCTTGAAAATAACATTTTGTGTTGGCAGGCTTTTGGGTTTTTTTTCTTTTTAGCACTTTTAAAGATTTCATTCCACTGTCTTCTGGCCTTATATTTTCTAATAAGTCAGTGGAAATTCAACTCAGTGTTCCTGTGAAAGTAATATGTCGTTTTTCTCTAGCTGTTTTCTGCACTTTTTTTCTTTTTTGTTAGTTTTCAGCAGTTCAGCTGTGATTTGTGCCTAGGTGTGGTTTTCTTTTTATTTAATTAATGTTTGCTGAGCTTCTTGAATCTATACGTTTTTGTCTTTTACCAAATTTGGGGAATTATTTTCAATTTCTTTTCTGTCCTATTCTCTTTTTCCTTGGGATTGGTTATATGTATTTTGATACTGTTCCAAGGACTCTTTCCCCCCATACCCCTACCTTTTTTTCTCTGTCCTTCAGATAAGGTCTGTTTTCATGTTACTATTTGTTTTGCCATCTTCAGTCTGCCATTAAGTACATCAGTAAAGATTTATTTCATACAGTTTTCAGCTCCAGAATTTCTGTTTGGTTCTTGTTTTTGTTTGGGCTGCAGTAACAAAACACCTTAGGCCGGGTAATTTATTGTATAAACAGCATACATTTATTGCTCACAGTTCTGGAGGCTTGAAAGCCCAAGTTTAAAAGGTTCCAGCAGATTCAGTTTCTGGTGAGAACTCTCTGCTTCATAGAAAACACCTATGTGTCCTTACATGGCAGAAGGGGCAAACAAGCCTTCTCACGCCTCTTTTATTAGGGCAAAAATCCCATTCCTGAGGGTGGAGCCTTCATGACCTCCCAGAGGCCCCATCTCATAATACCACCATATTAGGGACCGGGTTTCAACATAAGAATTTTGGGGGACACACGCATTCAGACCATAGTAGTCCCTTTTTATTGATTCTTTTTCTTTTCTGGAATTTCTTTTCATTCAAAGCAAGAGTATTTCTCCCTACATCTTGTGCATTGTAACAGTACCTGGTTTAAATTTTTTTGTCTGCTAATTCTCACATCTGGATTGTCTCAGGGCCATTCCCTGTTTGTGCTTTCTTTTGAGCATGGATATTTTTTGTTCCTTTGTATGTCGGGTAATTGTGTTCTAGCACATTATGTATGGATGATAGATTTTAAAACTCTGAATAGTATTTTTTAAATTGATAATGACTTTTAGTGATATATTTTGTCATTTTCTGTGCTGATTGTTTCCTTGTCCATGCTTTTCTTCTATTTTCACTTGTCTCCCTGCTGCTAAAGTATGTCGTCAGATAGTTCTTTTGTGACAGTCTGTGTATAGTAAACCATTAGCTTTTATGTGTCTTAAAATATCTTATTTTTTCCCTCATTCTTGCTGCATTACCTGGGACCTAAGTTCTAGGTAGACAGTTACTTTACTTTCAATACTTTGAACATATTGTGCCATTGTTTTTCGTCATCAGTTGTTGCTGGGGAGAAGTCTGAAGTCAGTCTAATTGCCATTTCTTGCTAGGTAATCTGCTTTTCTTTCTGGTAGCTTTTAAGATTATGCCCGTGATTGATATTCTACAGTGTGTCTTATGTGTGACTTAATTTTTATCTTCCTCAGTATGTAGTGTGTATTTTCAGTTCAACAACATGTTTTTCAATTCTGGAAAATTACTATCTAAATTATCTCAGCAAATATTGGTACACCACTGTCCTTATATCTTAGTGATTATGTTTTTTTCTTTTAGTATATTCCTAAATATACTTATTTTTATGTTTTTTTAAAATCATACTATCCATTGGGTGATATCATCTAGAATGAATTCATGTTCCAGCCATTTATTTTATTGGTCTTTCTCTTTTTTTCTCATTTTTTTTCCCACATGCCTGTTGTGTCACATTTGTTGATATTATATTTTAGAATTTTGTCCTTGCAGCCTTATTTTGATTGGGAAGTTTAACATTTTTCTTCATTTTGCCCATCTGTCTTTTTCTATGCTTATTTTCTTTCTTACAGTTTTTACTTGATTTTCAATTCATTCCTCCCAATCCAAAACTAGGTTTGTATTAGAGTTTCCGGGTTCTTGCTTCAGCATGATATTGAGAGTATTGCAGGTTCTGTCATGGATCCATTCAATAACTAACTGGTTTAGATCCTGGTTAAGAGGTTTCTCCTCTCTCTTTCCCCTTAACTACACCACAATGTCAAATAAGCTCTAGCTTAGGCAACAGGGGATATCAGTATATTCTTAGCTTCCTTTCAAGAGGAGAAGGCTATTCCAGCCTTTGGCTTTAAGCAGTAAGCATAGCTAATACTCCTCTTATGGAACATTTTTAGTCCTTGTTTACCCAGAGGAGGGGGAACTTTGAGCCACTATTGAGTGCTCATAGACTCAGAGCTTTGCAGGTCCACAGCTTATATCCCCATTCACAGCCTTGTGTTTCTTCTCATCTTCTTGTGACTTAGCCTTTCTAAATAAAAAGTAATACTTAACATTTTATATTGTACTTCTAGCAAAGGGGCTGAATCAAAATACAAACTTAATGAGCCTTCTTGACTAGACATCTATGTGTTGTTTCTTAATGTTTTGTCACTCTTGTCTCACTTGGCATATGCTCATAGTAGTAATATTGCTCTTGTGAATCTGAGTTTTAATTTCTAGTAGGGAAAACTCTGAGTTTTCTTTTTTAAAATTTTGTCTTGATCAAAATTATATATTTTTACATATGAACTTTGAAATAATTTTGCTCAGTTTTAAAACTTCTGTTGGAATATGTCTTGAAATGTATAAATGTGTGTCTACATCATTTTAGAAAGGTTGTCCTCCTTTTTTTGTTTTTGCCCTCCAGCCTGAGTGACAAGAGTCCTGGTCTATCACTCAGGGTGGAGTGCAGTGGTGTGATCATTCATGTCTCACTGCAGCCTCAACCTCCTGGGGTCAAGCAGTCCTCCCACCTCAGTCCCCCACATAGCTAGGACCACAGGTGTGCACCACCGCACACAACTGATGGTTTTGTTTTTTTTTGAGACAAGGTTTCCCAATGTTGCCCAGGCTGGTCTTGAATTCTTGGGCTCAAAAGATCCTCCTGCTTCAGTCTCTGAAAGTGCTGGGATTCCAGGTGTGAGCCTCTGTGCCTATCTGAAAGATTGCCATTTTTATGCTCTCCAGTTATCCAGAAGTTAACTATATCCATTTATATACAGCTTTTAATATGTAATTTTGAGCCTTCCTTGAGAACCTTATTCCTGTTTTATGTTTTCTGTAGTTATTGTGGCTGTCCAGCTGGCTATACTAGAAGAAATATTAAAATGTTCCTCTTACATGTAGTCACTTTGCCAGAATGCCTAAATAATTATAAAAGGTTTTGGTAGATTCTGTGGTTTTCTATGTATATAATCATACCAACTACAAATAAAGGTACTTTTATATCTTTTAACATTTATGCTAGTCATTTAGTTTTCTTATTTTATTAAGCTTTCTAAAGCCCCTAAAACAGTATTTAACAATTATAGGCATCTCTTTGTTCTTGATTTTAGTGGAAATGCCTTCAGTGTGTTTTACTGTTGAATATCTTGCTTGCTGTATTTGGGGGAAAAGTCTCATAGTTAAATAATTTCCTTTTATTCTTATTTTATTGGAGTTCTTATTAGGAATGGTGGCCGAATTTTATCAAATGCCATTTAAAACCTTGATAACAATAATGGGCAATTAGCCTTTTAACAAACTGGATTCAGTTTGCTTTTTATTTTGTTTTTCCTTTTGTGTTAATACTTACAAGTGTATTGTGTTATGTTTTCTTCCTTTGAACTATATTTATCAGGTTTTGTTGTTAATGTTTTATAAGCACTTGAAAAATAATTGAATACCTTAATAATCTTCCCTTGTGTATTGTGTGGAGACTGTTTTGTTCTAACTTTATAAATTGATAATAAAGAACCCTCTGTTTAGGTAGATTTTGTCAGTTTGCTCAGTTTTAGAAAGCTAGTATAGAAAATACATACCTTGGGGTAATTTTATTAAGATATTTTTATGTGAGTTTGAAATTTTTTCCAAATATGAATCCATATTTCCGTGTGTGTGTGTGTGTGTGTGTGTGTGTGTGTGTGTGTATGTGTGTGTGTGTGGGGTCTAAATTTGTACTGTGTCCCTTGGGAAACACATTTGTTTCCTTAACATTTTTTTTCCTTCTGCAATCCCTCTGTGCTTTTTTTGTGAGAAATCTTAATCCCAAACATTTATCTGTAAATAAGTTGGCGAGATTTTTTATAGGTGTCAGTAGAGTGCATAGCTGTATATTAATGCTTTGTGTGTATTTATGAATTATTACCATATGAGTTTGCTGTGAAGTCTGAGTATTACTGGTACTTAATATTGCCCGTTGTTGTTACATAATAAATTGTAATAAAATTTTTGTTGCTACCTTAGGAGTTCCAACTTGGGCTTGGTTCTGATATTGTTTGAGACTGTTTGGTAATTTATACATATATGACTGTAATAATGTCCTTTTCTTCTCTCCCCCAACCTCCGCCAACAGTTACATGGGAATTGGTCTTTCTGCTCAAGGTGTGAACATGAATAGACTACCAGGTACACTTGTAATTGAATTACAGTATTATGTCTTATGAGTAGCTCTTTCTGGTTAAATTTTTCAAGTAAGAAATTGTAATATTTAAAGATACTGATTTTCTGTGTTTTTAATCATCATTATGAATTTTAAGTGAAAGCTGAGTGGGGTTTTTTTGTTTTGTTTTGTTTTTGAGACAGAGTCTCACTGTGTCACCCAGGTTGGAGGGCAGTGGCGCAGTTTTGGCCCACTGCAACCTCTGCCTCCTGGGATCAAGCGGTTTTCCTGCCCTCAGCCTCCCAAGTAGCTGGGATCACAGGCATGCGCCACCAGGCCCGGCTAATTTTTGTATTTTTAGTAGAGATGGGGTTTTGCCATTTTGGCCAGGCTGGTCTCGAGCCCCTGACCTCAGGTGATCCACCTGCCTCGGCCTCCCAAACTGTTAGGATTACAGGCGTGAGCCACCATGCCCAGCCTGCTGAGCGGTTTTTAATAAATTTAAATTTCACACTATTTAGTAAAACATATAGTATATATATCATGCTTTTTTTTGTATTTTTATATTTTTAAGTTTTAGTACATAGTAATATCAGCTACTTTAAATATTTTAATGTGGCTAGTTATATTGGCTACCCATCACATTTTTGACTTTTAACCCATCTTAATATTCAGGGAATATCGACTAATACTTAAAGTAAACTAAGGAAGAGATGAATTGAGATCCAGACCTGTTTCCCAGTACCACTTATGAGAAGGAAGTGATTCTTGGATTATGTCTTCTAATACTCTCTTTGCTAAAATTAAAAATTAATTTTGGCGAGACTTTTTGAAGTACAAGGCAAAACTGTCAATGTCAAACTACATGAAGTACCTTAAAGAAACAAACCAAGACAATGTAGTTGCATCTGATTGTAATCACATATGTTACCTTGACATGCTTTGTTTTGTACCCTTTTGCTTAAAATTATACTTGAAAGAGGGTTTAATTGAGGTTTTTATTATTTGAAAACTCCTTATAGAAGTAACTGATAAGGTAAAAATCTCTTAATGATGATATAAACATATCTGTAGTGTGGTAAGACCACACCCTGTTTGGCTTTTATATTTGGATCACAGTCTTGAGAAACTTGCAGTGATTGAATAGGATGTAATCTCTTATGTTATATAAAACGTGTATGTGTTTCTTTAAATCAAAACAAAATTATTTTGGTGTATTAGCAAACGGAATATGCACAGAAAATGTGTCCTCCTGTGGTTGTTGCATTTATGTTTGTTTTTTCTGGTAGGGGGTTCTCTCTGTTTAATATTTGTTTTAGTGTTCTGTGTAGCTATTTTTCTTAAATTTGTAAACTGTATTTTAATATAGAATAAATTATGTAGTGTAATTGTTGAGAATTTAAATGTACATTGGGAATTTCATCTTTATATTATCTTGTACTGTTCTGATTTATCATAATCTTAGTGAATAAACCTAGTACAGAGGAACCTTACTTTTCATTGTAAATATGCCGGAACTTTCTCCTTAGGTTGGGATAAGCATTCATATGGTTACCATGGGGATGATGGACATTCGTTTTGTTCTTCTGGAACTGGACAACCTTATGGACCAACTTTCACTACTGGTGATGTCATTGGCTGTTGTGTTAATCTTATCAACAATACCTGCTTTTACACCAAGAATGGACATAGTTTAGGTACTGAGATAATATATTGCATGCAAAATAACCAAATATGGAGATTATTATACTTCCAGGATGGTAGTTGTATTTATTATGTGATTCTCCTTTATAGATGGATGCCTCTGGAAATGGTTTCTTTCTTTTTCCCAGACAGAAGCTGAGGAAATGGTGAATATTTATATTCACCCTATTTATATTCTGTGAAGGCCATCTATATAATACATATATGTATAGGAGTTACTGTAGAAATAATCCCCACACTGAGATACTTATTCTAGAAATAGAAATGCCAAGAGTTTTCTACTTTAAATAAAACGCTACACAGTATAATCTAATTCTCTGGGTAACAGGTGCTAAGAAAAAGGGGCAGTCAGTTGTTAGGATAGTGTGGGGAATAGTAACAAAGGAAGGGAAAGCTTGATGCCACAAGCATATGAAGGGCATCAACACACTCAAAGGTCAGATCTGCTAACAAAGATGGCTAAGTTGGTAACTACAAGTTTGTTCTATGGAAGGAAGCAGAATTAAACAAGCAAACAGTGACAAAACTGAGAATAAAAAACTTCTGAAAATAAAATAGGTTATGGAAAACTTGAAACCCATACATTGTAAGACTAATAGTAAGTTAAGATTTTCAGTGGACTATTCATGTACTCATAGCACTTCAAATTTAAAGTTATATGTGGTCATTATATTCCATTTTCTTAGAAGTTTTTTTTTTTAAACTATAGAAAATATAAAGGATAATAACACTGATGCTTTTTGTTTTATAAAAAAAGATTTCACCTTTTACTGCTGGAAAAATCTTTGACTCAAAGCAAATTATTTTTAATGAGGTAAAATGAAAGGAAGCATAAACTGAGTAACCCTAGAAGGCAGAAACTATTTACAAATAGTATTTAGAAATTAGACTTAAAGTAGTATGCTTAGACATATAATAGATGTTCTTTAACACAAAAGCTGTTTTTTCTGTTATTTCATAGTATAAAAGAAAATTCTGAATTTCTGGCTGCATTGGCAATACTCTTTTAAGAGTGTTTCAATAAAGTTAACTTTTTTCATATTCAGCTTAGCATTTCTATTTCTGATTACTGATTTTTAATTCTGAAGTCCTTCTGTATTATCTGACTTAAAAGTTTTTCTCAAGTCCACAAGAGATCCTTTTCTCACTAGTACAATAATGTTAAGGACCCCATGCAAATTATGTATATTTGTGTGTGGTTTCATTGTTGTGGCCACCTGGTTTCCAAGAACAATACAGGCCTCTTGAATTTATTTGTTGTTACTATTCTGACTGTTCATATAATCTTAGTTGGCTTGACTGCTTAAGATGTTGGAAGTTTTGAATCCGGAGAAATCTGCTTTTAGGTGTGACCTTTGGCTCAAAAACCAAAAAATACATTTTGAAAAAACCACAATCTCTTTAACATAAACTTTTTAAACTTTCCAGAGAAGAAATTTCATTTTGGGAGATAAGACAATCACAGGTGATAATGATTTTATTTTTTCCCTATTTTCACAAATATTTAAATTAAATTTTTCTCTTGGCTAAGAAAGCTATTTTTAAAATGTAAGATGTGTCTTTAAAAAGGTGCACCTAATAATGGAGTCACATTATAAATTTTTATTTTTTGTTTATTTTATTTATTTAATTTTTGAGACGGAATGTCCTTCTGTCGCCAAGGCAGGAGTACAGTGATGTGATCTCGGCTCAGAACCTCTGCCTCCTAGTTTCAAGCAATTCTCCTTCCCCAGCCTCCTGAATAGCTGGGATTATAGGCACGCCATCACCCCCAGCTAATTTTTGTATTTTTAGTAGAGATGGGGTTTCACCATGTTGTCTAGGCTGGTCTTGAACCTCTGACCTCAAGTGATACACCCGCCTCAGCCTTCCAAAGTGCTGGCATTACAGGCGTGAGCCACTGTGCCCAGCCTACATTTTAATTTTAAGTAAACCTGAATGTTTGGCATTATTCATTCTTAAATTTAATGAGTATTAAGCACATAGAGAGATGGTATAACAGTGGTTAGTAAGAGTTCTTTAGTCAGACTTGCCTGGGATTGACTCCCGGCCTATGCCAGGTAACCATATGTAAATTACTTAACATTTCTGTGCCTCAGTTTTCTTAGTTTGTCAAGTAGGATCACTGTAATACCTATCTCACTAAGGTGGTTAGACTAAACTGCAATAGTATGTGCACAGTTCTGGCATCTAGTGAATAACCATTAAATGTTATTTAGTATCATTGTTTGTCAGCCCCTGAGCTAGGTTCCTGGGATCCACTGGTAAACCATTGATGAGCAGAAATTACTTCTCTAGAACAGGAGTCTACAAGCTATGGCCAAGTTAGCCTCCTGTTTATTTTAAAATAAAATTTCATTAGCAACCAGCCACACCTACTTAAATATTGTTTATGGTTGCTTTCCTGTTACAGTGGCAGAGTTGGATATTTGTGATAAAGACCATATGGCCTGGAAAGCAGAACATATTAGTAGTCCTTCATAGGAAAGCTTTGCCTACCTCTGGTCTAGGTTCTGGCATCTTCCAAGATAAAATACTGTTAAATATTTAGTTACTATTCCCTTATACTTCCTAAGTGGATAATCTGTGCCCAAAACTTGATACATCTTTAGTTTCTGTCTCATGGAAGATTTTCAGAATGTATATTTGTTTACTATATAAGGAAAAATAGAAAGGTTTTATTTGAGAAAATAAGAGAAACTTTGCAGTATATAGGTTAATGTAATTTGATAATTTTTTACTTTGTTTTATTGAATATCGTTCACCAATTGAAGATCACTTTTCAAAAAGCCTGACAAATCAGGAAATTATGAATATAGAAAATTGCTTTCTGTGTAAAATTCAAATAGTTATGCCATCTTGTTAAAGTGGCATCTTTTCGTGGTCTGATTGAGCAAAAACATGTTGTGGTAACTATATTTGGCTGTGTTAAAAAATGTTAACCTTTGGAATTAATTTTGAATTTTTCGTTAGAGTTTTTGGTAAAGTGAAGATTTCAGTAAT
Organism: Homo sapiens; assembly: GCF_000001405.40. NCBI lineage: Eukaryota > Metazoa > Chordata > Mammalia > Primates > Hominidae > Homo > Homo sapiens. Next base: position 13,654,098 of record NC_000006.12, on the reverse strand, counting down.
TACAGACAAAGGATTTTTGCTAAAGATAGAATATACAGTGTTGATTATAACTAGACATCTTTGAGAAAAATTATTTTATGAAAAATATTAGAAATATGTATAGTTTATAGTATATTAAAATATTCTCTTGCTTTCTGTATTCTTTTTACTTTTGTGAAATTTTTGGGAAAGTTTTTTATTTGGGCTGATAGTACTTGCTTTCTGTGTTATTAATGAAGTTAAATGTAATGATAATGTTTTACGTGGGGAAAACAGGAACCCTAACTTTGCTTTCCTTTTAACAAGCCACCATGAATTTACTAGTTTTTAAAAATCATAAAAACAGGGCTTTACTAACTACAAAAGCATTAATTTTACACATTATTTTAAAAGTATAAAATTTATTTTCAGTTTGTCTTTTAACTTTATTAATAAATAGAGTTAGATGTTTTCTGTTATTACAGCACAGTCATAGAGGAATAAAATGTCAAGTAGGAAGAGACCTTAAAAACAATTTAATGGAAATTCCCTCAGTTTTAAGATAGTGATCAAGACTGTAGAAGCAGTGGTGCTGGCTTGGTTTTAATGTTTGTTTTAGACTGGAAGAATTGAGATCAGCTGACTGACTCACCAATACTGCTCTCCCATTATTCTAGAGCTAAATCTTTAAAAATATATCTACAGAAATACTTTATTATTTTCAGCTAAGTTGTATATTGGAATATTTAAAGGAGGTCGTTAAATTGTCACGTTGAGTTGACAGTAGACTTATTCCAATGATATTGCCATTGCTCAAGTTGTATCTAGAACATGACTGTTGTAATTACTGTCAAAAGGTATTCAAGAGAAATTCTAAACTGTGCAAAATCGTTCATCCTTTGAAGGAGGAATTGATTTTTCCCACGAGTAAATCATAAGTTAAAGAATTTACTTTCATAAGAAACATTTTTTAAAGAAGCAAAAATATACTGTATTTTCCCTTGTTTGCCTTTTATAACAGAAAAACTCTTTTCTTTCCAGCTAAAATTATTTAAAAGCTAAATCTAGATGATGATTATTAAACGGTGAGGGTACAAATTGCAACTTGGGGTTAAAAAATAAACTGACTATTTTGCAACCAACTTTCTTAATGTGTTTTCTAATGTAGCTTTGAAGATATATCTAAAAGTATTTCAAAAATCCTGGAGACAATGGCAGCATCTCAGAAATAAAATTTGTGTATGACTAGCAAGGCTGATTATCTTGAAAGGGGACAGCGTTTGTTCACTCAGACATATGTTAGTATTATTGATTAAAAATTAGTCTTGTTATTTTTTATTTAGGCTTTAATGTTTTTTTCTTTTGCCATTTGTTTCCTCCTTTTAGTTAGAAATTCAGCTTGTCAGTATAGTCTGCTTTGAAAAACAGCTTCTAATGCCACTTTTTTTTTTCTTTTTAGGTATTGCTTTCACTGACCTACCGGTAAGACTTTTTTTAAAAGCAGTTTTCCATTTTTAATTACAGGAAGTATAAAGAAACTGATACTGGGCATATTTAGAAAGTTTAAAATACAGTCTTATTGATATTTATTAGGTTTATATGACATGCAAAGAAAGAGATCTTTTCTCTAACCACCTTGGGTGTAGACCCTCAGAAATTAAGCTCCAACTTGCACTGGATTCATTGTATAAAGGAAAATAAATCAGAATTGATTCTCAAGTGTCTTTTTAAATGTCACCATTCATTCATTTGAAATGTATTTCCTTGGACTTTTCAGCAGAAGGCTGTATAGCAGTTATAATCGTTTATTCATCCAAGCTATATAGAGGCCTACTATGTGGCAGGTAAAGTGCTTGGAATATATTATTCAACAGGTAGTAAAGGTCTCTGCCCTCTTGGACTTTATAGTATTCAAGCTGTGAAAGAGAATGAGCAGTACATGAAAAACAAGTAAAGTAGAACATATTTTAAGGGTGTTAAGTATACTTTGGAAAGAAAGGGAAAAAACAGAGAATGGGAATACCAACGGTAGGACACAAGGTTGTACAAGTTGCTCCCCTTTGCTCAAGGTGAGACTTGAGCTGAAGCTTTTGGAGGAGTGAGGGAGTCTGCCAAGTGGATATGTAGAGCAAGAGTTTTCAGGCAGAGGGAGGTTAGAGAAAAGGTGCTCAGGCAGGAGCACAGATGGCTTGTTTGAAGAAGAGTGTGAAGTGTGGTAGAGAGGAGTGAGGAGGGCAGAGCATATGTAGTAGCAGATGATCAGAGATAATAATGGGGTTGGGGGTAAGCTATTAATAGATCATCTAGACCTGGGCAAGCCATTGGGAGGGCTTGGAAATTTACTCTGAGTGAAATACAAAGACATTGTGGACTTTTATTTGTCATGATAGGACTTCAGTTTTTATGGGATCACTGTGATTGCTTAGTTGAAAAGTAGACTAGGCCGGGCATGGTGGCTCACACCTGTAATCCCAGCACTTAGGGAGGCCGAGGTGGGCGGATCACGAGGTCAGGAGATCGAGACCATCCTGGCCAACACGGTGAACCCCCGTCTCTACTAAAAAAAAAAATACAAAAAATTAGCTGGGCGTGGTGGTGGGCGCCTGTAGTCCCAGCTACTCAGGAGGCTGAGGCAGGAGAATGGCGTGAACCCAGGAGGCGGAGCTTGCAGTGAGCCAAGATTGTGCCACTGCACTCCAGCCTGGGTGACAGAGCAAGCCTCTGTCTCAAAAAAAAAACAAAAAAACAAAACAACAACAACAACAAAAAACTATATGGGAGTAAGGGTAGAAGCAAGGGGACCTGTGAGAAGACTATTGCAGAAATTCAAGCAAGGGGTTACAGTAACTCTCTTCGGTAGAGGTTTGATTCCACGTATCTTATTTACCAAACCCAAGGCACTGTCAGTTGTAATCTGCATCATCTGTGACACCAAGGGGGAAAAAAACTAACAAACTGTGACATAATGCCTCCCTTATCACTTAGCATTTTTATTTTATACTCACTGAATGATCTCTTAGGGTTATTTAAACTTAGATTTTAATATGTGTCTCTTTTTAGGTGTTGCACACCTAAAAAGGATGAGATAAGCAATATAAATTGATTAAGGTATTCCTAAAATTTCATGTTCAGAGTCTAACCTTTTAAATCAGTTTTTTAAAGACTGGATGCCATGATTTTCTTTGATCTCACTCTGTCACCCAGGTTGGAGTGCAGTGGTGTGATCTTGGCTCACTGCAACCTCTGCTTCCCAGGCTCAAGGGATCCTCCTACCTCAGACTCCCAAGTAGCTGGGACCACAGGTGCACGCCAGCATGCCCGACTGATTTTTTGTATTTTTGGTAGAGACGGGGTTTCGCCAGGTTGCCGAGGCTGATGCCCATGATTTTCTATGTGATACTGTCTTCTCCGTCATCAAGAACATTTTTTAAGATTACTCTTATTATGTCTCTGGGATTAATCTCCAAGCTGCTGATTACATCGTGCACGTTTGATACTGTCACTTTCATGATGTTAACCAATATCACGAAAATGAAAATTTCATCAGGAAAAGCAACTCAGTCCCAAGAGTTTTTCAGTGAGCTCATTCTTTAACAAATCGCTCCTGTGCAGGCATTGACAGCTGTGTCATGACAGCTGCCTGACCATAGTAAGGTGTCATCAATTATAAAATGCATTCCAGTTTTCAGAGATGTTTTGAAAGAGATGATGGAAGATTCAGAGGTAGAGAATAGATACCAAATCTATAGACTATTTATATCCCTTAATAAAATGCTAGGAAAAAACAGAAATCAAAATTATAATAGAAAATAATTTTAAGCCAAGGAATATTTGAACCCTACCGATCAAAAGTACTCTTCAAGAAGCATTATTTGGCTCTGGGTGTCTGAGGTGGGAGGACTGCTTGAGGCCAGGAGTTCAACACCACTTTGGGCAATATAATGAGATCTCACCTCTACTAAAAAAAAAAAAAACAAAAAAACACAACAACAACAAAAAACCCTGCCGCATTATTTAGTAAATAGTGATGGAATGAGTCTTTATTATTTATTTTTTTAAAATACATATTGTTAGGACAAAGTGTAAAGTAAGTTCTAGATGGATTAAAGAGTTAAATTTTTAAAAATCCCAAAATAATAGTAACAAAAATATGATTCTTTTAAAAATCCAACTGAAAACCAAGAGAATTGGCTAATGGATTGGATCTGAAAATTACATAAGGTCTGAGAATTGACAATTGTACTTAGCAGAGTAGAGGTCGTTGGTGACCTGGACAAGAAAGTTTCAGCTGTGGGATGGAGACATCCTGATTGGAATGGATTTTAGGAATAGGTGAGTTATAGGCAGTGGATAACTCTGGAGGACTTTGGCCATGGTGAGGAGTAAAGAAATGGAGTAGTAGCCAGTGGTGGAAGTGGGGGCAGTAGAAAAAAAAATTAAGTTAGGAGATTGAGTATGCTGATGAAAATGTCGGTGTCGCATAGAAAGAGGTAGACAGATGTGTAATTGAGGGGATGGGCTTTTGAGAAGAGCATTGTGGGGACAGGCAGAGTGTGTAGGTGCAGATTCTGGTTAGTGGGTTGATTTGGTCTTTAACAGTTAAGAGACTGGTGAGAATGCTGTAAGTTTCATTTGGAGTTGGTTAAAGAGTTTAGTGACTTTTTTTTTTTTTTTTTTTTCTGTTGTGGCACTAAGCAACTAGTCAGCGTGAGCTTTTGTTGTTGTTAGCTTTCGTTTTCTTGTTCATAGATAGCGGAGATCATTTGGAAAAAGCTTGGTTGCTTGTAGACATGTTGTTTATTTTCTCTCCCACTTTTGAATCACCAGTTATGTTTTTTCCCTCAGGTAGCCAATGATCATGTGCAACTTTGTTGTAACAATGGGTACAGTGGTGGTTTTAGGTTTCCTTTTAGTGTAGTATTTTTCATTTTTAATACTGTAAATCTTCTGGGACTTCCATAGGCTTCATATCAATTCTTCCTTTTAAAGGAAGCATCAAGGAAGTGTTTATATCTTCTATACCTGTGATCTCTCACAAGCTACCCATACCATTGAATCCTGAGAGAAAGTATATTTGCAGAAAAACCAGTTTACCTAGATTGTTCTGCACCTGTTATGGAATATAAGTGTTTATACAGCTTTGAAAACCTTAGATTTTTTTCAAAATAGTCTTTTTTCCTCAGCTTACCTCACCAGTTTGAGAAATGACATTAAGTATAACTAATTCAGTTTGGGATTTAATTATACAATTAAATTATGATAGTTGCACAGTTCTGTGAACATACTAAAAAACATTGAAGGCTGTTGCTTTTTAAAGGCTTTTGTTACAGTAGCTGTTCTCATTTTAAATGATGCTGTTTTCGAATTCTGGGCACTGACTTGAAATCTACTTTTTGTGGATACATTATTTGTATAGTCATTTTTATTAAAAGAGATCGAATGTAGACCAAAGCTGTGCTATTGAGAATATAAATTTATATTGTGTACATTTAGCTTTTAAGCAATTTCTAGATTGAAAGTATGTTTTGCAAGTTAATAGAAATGTTTTCCTATTCTTTTCATAAAGAACCTATTCTGTCTATATACTATTCTACATGGGCAGGAGTATTTTTCTAGAAGACATTATTACATATAAATCTACAGTGACAATGCACCTGCTGCATGGATGAACCTTGAAAACATGCTAAATAAAAGAAGCCAGCCATCTGGGTGCGGTGGCTCACGCCTGTAATTCTAGCACTTTGGGAGGCCAAGGCGGGCGGATCAAGAGATCAAGACTATCCTGGCCAACATGGTGAAACCCCGTCTCTACTAAAAATACAAAAATTAGCCAGGAGTGGTGGCATGTGGCTGTAGTCCCATACTCGGGAGGCTGAGGCAGGAGAATTGCTTGAACTTGGGAGTTAGAGGTTGCAGTGAACCGAGATTATGCCACTGCACTTCAGCCTGGGCGGCAGAGTGAGACTCCGTCTCAAAAAAAAAAAAAAAAAAAAAAAAAACCAGTCATATAAGATCACATATTTTGTTGTTCCATTTATGCAAAATGTCCAGAATGGGCAGATCCATAGAGTTAGAAAGTAGATTAGTGGTTGCCAGGGGGAACGGGGAAATGGGAAGTGGCTGCTGATGGGTACTGAGTTTCTCTCTGGGGTGATGGGATTGTTACACAATTAAATTACAGTAGTTGCACAGTTCTGTGAACATACTAAAAAACATTGAAGGCCGTTGTTTTTTAAAATCTGTAATATAGCAAGTTAAGGACTATGTCCTTAATCCTCTTCTCCCAATTCTCCAGTTTTAAGGTTGAGTAAATGGTATAACAATTATACTTACTTTTCAGTGAGCCAAAACTGACTTAATATTACTAAAAGTTTTTTTAATCAATATCAGATTACAGAAGTAATGTATAGTATTAAATACTTAAATGAGAAATGTTTATATATACAGAAATGTACAAAAGAGAAGTTCTTCATAATCCCAGTCTCTTTGGCTATAATGTTTGTTTTAACTTGAATATATATCCTTTTAGACTTCTTTCTAAACACATATAAGCCAGTATGTTCATTTTTTGAATGTTTATGTGAAAGATAGGGTCATACCATATACAATATGTTATACCTTGCTTTAGTGTGTATAGGACATCTTTCTGTGTCCATATATACATTTTTCATTCTGTTCTTTTTGCCTGCTTTATGTTATCTTATTAACTTACTACCACAATTGATCAATTATAAAATGTACATTTTTTTCATATTTTAGTATTTCTGAAATGAGAATGCACTGTAGAATCAATGACTGGTCAGAGTTTAATTTGCATTATGTTTTCCTAGACACAAAATAGTGATGTTTGTTACTATTAGATTTTGAGACTTGATGAATATGGTATAATATCACATATCTGTGAATATTTTAAAATTTTGTTTGTGTTACAAATAATGCTACAAGACATATCTTTGCACATACTTATTTTTGTAGGAATACACTCTTCCAAGTGAAATTACTTGGTCAATTTTAATAGATTTTTCCAGATTTCTTTGTTAAAAGATTATGTCAGTTTACATTTCTGTGTACAGTAGATGAAAGGGTTATTTCCCCAACCCTTATCAGCATTGGGTATTCTCAGCCTTTCAAGTCTTAATCTGATGTGCAAAAGTTTTTAAATCTTGAACTTTTAATTGATTTTATTTTTAAGTGCGCATTAAAAATGTTCATCTAAAAAGTTGAGTGTGATTAAGCTTCTCTTTATGTGTTGTCATTTTTATTTCTTCTACAAATTGCCTACATATTCATTGCCTTTTTTAAGAATTTGAACTGGTAGTCTTTGTCCTCCTGAATTTTTTCTGTATTTGTAAAACACATTTTGCCATATGTGTGGCAGATTTTTTTTTCTAGAGAGTCATTTGTCTTTGCCATTTGTGGCATGTTTTGTCATAGGGAAGTTTTAAATTTTTATGAAATAGTTTTATCAGAGAATTCATGAATGTTGATTGTCTTTGATAGTGTTGATAGAATTATTTTTTCTGAATTTGTAAGAAAATTTAGATGAGCAGTCATTTTAAAAATGTCTTTATTTAGACAATACTGAATATCATCATTATAAACTGCTTAATGAACAGAATTGTCTTTCACTCAATTGTGTTTGGCTTATATGCTTTTGTGTTAAAGTATCTCATAACTCTGTAGTGTTTTTTCTGTTTTTTTGTTTTGTTTTGTTTCTGTTTTTGTGTTTTTAAGACAGAGTTTCACTCTTGTTGCCCAGGCTGGAATGCAGTGGCACAATCTCGGCTCACCAGAACCTCCCCATCCCCGGTTCAAGCGATTATCCTTCCTCAGCCTCCCGAGTAGCTGGGATTACAGGCATGCGCCACCACACCCAGCTAATTTTGTATTTTTAGTAGAGGCGGGGTTTCACCATGTTGGTCAGGCTGGTCTTGTACTCCTGACCTGAGGTGATCTACCTGCCCCAGCCTCCCAAAGTGCTGGGATTACAGGCGTGAGCCACCATGCCTGGCCTGTTTCTATAAAGTCTTTAGGTCTCAGTTTTCTCATTGGTGAAATGGGAAGGCTGTACTATCTCACCTGTTTTTGGCTTAAAAGTTTATAAACTTGTTAGCTCTGTTGATTATTAAGAATCAATACATTTGCATACTTTGCTTTAACCATTTATTTCCATAATCCAGTAGTACTTTATATTTTTGATATTTTGATGTAATATTTTGTTTCTGATTTGTTCTGCTTGATTGAACGGTTGTTTTTAAACACACCCTCTTTGCATTTTACTGTGAAATCTATTTAACATATTCACACAGAAATTATCCGCTCTTGATCTTTACCTTGTTTTGTACTGAAAAATACTTGTTATAACTATTAAAGATATAAGACATAAATACAGAAAATGAAAATATGGTAGGATTTGGAGTTGCAAGAGGAAAAATCAGTTTTGGATGTGGTATCAGACAAACTTGTGTTCCAATTCCATCTCTGCCATTTGTTAGCAGAACGACCATGAGCAAGTTATTTAACCTTGAATCCTCATTTTCTCTGTCTTTGAAGTAGAAATAATAATAGTGGCCTCACAGAATTATGATTAAACCCTGGCATTTAGTAGCCACTCAGAAACTCATTCTGCCTTTAGATGTAACAACCAATTAGTGACATAGCCAAAAGAATGACCCCTGTATTTTTTGTTTACTTGAAGTTATCACCTTTTCATCTTGATTAACCTTGAAACCATGGAGTGTACCTGAATGCATTTCTGAGTTTGGGTATATTCAGATTCATCCTTTTCCTCCCTTGAAATACATATATTTGAGGTTTTGTGTTTTTTTTTTAATATAGAGAATCTCCACTCTTCCTGGCACTGTGTTTTGCTTATAGTTATGGTCTTATCCCCTTCCCTTTGTAAAGTTAGGCATCCCAAATATACAGAATGAAAACAGTAAATTTAAGCTATTAAATGCCAGACTAGCTGAGATCATACTTTTATGATAACTAGCTTTAACATGCAGTTTATAGAAATGTATCATATATAAAATGTGGGATAAACCTGAGTTATGTGTTTATAGTTGAATTTCTGTAACTACTATATGACATAATCTTAGAACAAGAATTACATGCACATATATTAGTAGCATAATACCACGTGGTATAATACAACGTAGTCCCTGAATAAATAAAACAGAGATCTTGGGTCTCTTTGTTTTTTCTTGATGATTACATTGCAGGAAGTGATATTTTTTCATCTAACATATAATGTATTTTAGATCATTTGTTTTAGCCTTCTAATATTTTGATTGGGATTTTAAAATATGAAGTAAATTTATAGTTCTATTCTTTTAAATGTAACATTAAAAGAATTATTAAATCTAACATAAAATGGATAGATGTTTAATGAAATATGCTATCTTACAGCCAAATTTGTATCCTACTGTGGGGCTTCAAACACCAGGAGAAGTGGTCGATGCCAATTTTGGGCAACATCCTTTCGTGTTTGATATAGAAGACTATATGCGGGAGTGGAGAACCAAAATCCAGGCACAGATAGATCGATTTCCTATCGGAGATCGAGAAGGAGAATGGCAGACCATGATACAAAAGTAAGAGTGAAGAAATTTCAATTGATGCTATTCAGAATCTGTTTTTTATAAGACATTTATTCTGTTGGTATCCACAGAAGCTTTTTAATCCACTAATTTATATACTGACATATCTATTATATTATTGATTTTAATCTCTCAACGAAAAGTAATTTACTCCACTATTTAAACAAATTAAAAACAATTGTTTGACACACGTACAGAATTGTATTTCAGTCTGAATTAATTTGATGAAGGAAATAAAATGATGTTAGGTCACCTAGGCTAGGTTAATTCATTTGCTATTCTTAGTAATAGGATTTAATGATTTCTGTAGGTTATACAATTTAACTTTTAATAATGTTAATGGAAAAGATAAAGTTGAGAGATAATCTAGATCTTATAATCAGGATCTGTGGTTTTTGGTCATGAACTTGGCTATGTCCAAGCTCTTAATATCTGAACTATCAGCAGTAGTTAAGTATGGACTTAAAATTTAAATAAATACCATTAAATTTAAAAAGTCCTCTTCACTATTATAATCCAGGTCAAGAAAATAGCAGACTTTCAGATACAGTTGGTCCAACACATTTCATCTTTAATGTCCTTATAATTGCTTTGAATATTCTTAACTTTAAAATTGTAATAAAATGTTGGGGGTATTTTTTAGAAAAGGAAGTGATTGGGAGACATGATGATGACTCTGAAATCACACTTCGTCCCTGGAGCTATTATCATCTGTATTACAGAGATTGGACACTAGTTTTTTTGTCCAGCCCAGTTGAGAATAGACAACCCTGATGCAGAATCCTATAGTCACCACGAAGTGAAGCTAGAATGGGTTGTTCTGGGGCCACACTGTTTTAATGCTCTGAAAATGGTTACCACTGAGTATCATGGCAAGATAGTAGAAAACATTTATCTTAACCTTATAACCAGGATCCTTCCACCCACTTCTTCACTGACTTGATGTTCACCATGAACTCTTGAGAAGTCCATTCTAAAAGGTCCCCTCCCCCTTAAATTAATTTGAACAATTGGGTAAAATAAGATGCAGATCTGTTTCTTAGACATTTTCCTCCCTTTTCTCCCTCCGCTCTTTGCCTCAGTCTCCTCCTGTGGTGAACCACTGCTTCCCACGATTTTCTAACTGGCCCTTAGTAGTGTCAGGTGGAGGCAAGTTTAAAAATTGACTGTTTGGAGATAACAGATATTTGGGTTAATATTGTTGCATCACCAGTTTTTCTAACCACATCTTGTGGGTAGATGTAAGTATATGTTTTGACTACCTGGTACGTTTTTAAAAGATTATTGTCTTGGAAATGTGTCACTTACATGTAAACCATATTTGATAAATCTCTTGGGTAAAACCATAGTAATTGATTTAGATTAGAAGGCTGATTCCTCCTTTAATTAGTAGTACACTTATAGACATGTTCTGGAAGATTGTCTCTCTGGATTCACCTTAGTATTCTGTACATACTTTGTGATCCCACTTCATTTAACCGGTGTGTAAAGAAGATGGTTGAACTCTGGAACATTAAGAGTTAATCTTTTATTTTAAAGTTGGTTATTTTACAGAATGCCAGCAATACTGGAATAAGTCATATGATAAAGTCAAAATAGAAATTATGGTTAGTAGGGCTGAATAATAAGATAGGAAGGGACCTGGGGGTAATGAGAGTCCAAGAATCAAAGAAAAGGTCATTTAATGTCCTTGATTCTCAAGTAATATTTATTTTAGGGAGAGTAGTCTCAACATAGCATTTGCAGTTATCTTTTCGAAAATAGTACATGAATAGAACAAAATGATGTTTTTCAAAAGCTTACTTTAAAGGTGAGGTTCTTAACGCCTTGTTTCAAGGAAATAGGTTCGTTTTTATAACACCAGAATAGATTTTGTTTATATAAATTGTAGTATGAAGCATGTATTCTCTTCACTAAAAGATGTATGTTTCTTCTTTTTATTTTAAGAATGGTTTCATCTTATTTAGTCCACCATGGGTACTGTGCCACAGCAGAGGCCTTTGCCAGATCTACAGACCAGACCGTTCTAGAAGAATTAGCTTCCATTAAGAATAGACAAAGTAAGGACACTGTGGTGCATGGCTAACATTTGTTTTCAGATTATAGATTTGGTTACTTTAATTTTTAGAAATTTTGTTTTTTTAATTAAAAAAATTTCAAATATATTAATTTAAAATGGATGCCTCTGAATTTTATTTTCACTGACATTTTTGAAGATCAGTTTAAAAATTCACATAGGACTATGTCAGAATTCTAATTCTAGAGAGATTTTACAGAAGTTTTTTGAAGGAATGTCTTTACCATTTTTTTCTTAAATGTTTTCTTAAGCTTTCAGGAAATAAACATTTAATAAAAAGATTTAAAAATAATAATAAAGTAGTCCTGATTAGTTGGAGGAGATAGTATGTGAAAGAAATGTAAATATCTTTGAATTTAAATGGCTAATACAGTATTGATCCATAAGTATTTATTATTTAGATCCTAGTGCTGGCCTCTGTGGCCAGAGATAAAACAGGTCCTGTATAACAATGGCAAGTCAGCATAACTGGTCCATAGTTAGCCATCCTAAAATTGGTGCTGTTTGTCCATCAGGGTGGGTATGACTTGACAAGAGTATAGAGATGAAAACAAAATAGATGGGTGAAATTAATGGGTGAAAACAACTATTTCATAGGTCAAATTGCTGTAATAGCACTGATTACATTGGGTTGTAGTTAATTGTGTGCTGTCCTTTTCTACTATTTTAATAAGCTCTGTTGAACAGAGATCACTTACTCATTTTGTATCCTTATCATCTAATTTAACATATAACAGATCAAGTGAATGCTCAACGAGTCTCTGTTAAATTGGAATCTTAGTCAAAAGCTAGCATTTTTCAGTCCTTTGTTCAGAAGATTATGTTTGATAAGGCATTTTAGTATCCCTTTAAAACAGTCTTTTTAATCTCAGTGTTTGAAACTTCAATATTGCATAATAGGTATTTTAACTATATTACTCGTATGTTCGTGATTTTAAAAAAAAAATTTGTGACCGTACTTGTTTTTCTAATTTTCTAGTATGTCTGAAATGTTTCCTGGATTGCCTAATGGAAACTATGATGTTAGAGAAAGAAATTGAAATTAATCATAATTTATTTAAAGATTTCTTACTAACTTTCTTTTCTGAGGTCACTAAGTTTATGTTTTATCTACTTTTGTAAAAGTTAATCGTTTGCTTTCTTTTACTGAATAGGAATTCAGAAATTGGTATTAGCAGGAAGAATGGGAGAAGCCATTGAAACAACACAACAGTTATACCCAAGTTTACTTGAAAGAAATCCTAATCTCCTTTTCACATTAAAGTGAGTTTGCATAATAAAATGCTATATTTGTTATATATTATAAATATTTGTCAAGTTATGTAATAAAAGACATTTTCGTGCTTTTGTAATTTTAGTTTTTTTCGTTTTTCAAGTATATACAATTTTGTAATGTCATTTAAGCAACATGTTATGAAAAATACTTTTGTGTTAAGGACCATAAGCAGAAGGTGTCTTTTGCTATGTATTTGCTTTTATTATTCTATTTATGTGTTTAAAAATGTGAAAATCTTATTTAGAAGATGGGTGTCTATTTTTCCTTCTCAGAAGTACCTTACATTTAATCTCTCTGGCATTTTAAAAAATTGTGGTAAAATATACATAAAATTTACCATTTTTTACATTCACATCATTGTGCAACCATCACCACCATCCGACTCCAGAACTTCTCCATCTTCCCAAACTGAAACTCTCTATTAAACACTAACCATCCATTCATCCCCCTAGCCCCTGGAAACCACCATTCTACATTTTGCCTCTATGAATTTGACTACCCATATAAGTAGAATCAGAGTATTTATTCTTCATTACTGGCTTATTTTAGTGTAATAGCCTTAAGGTTCATCTTTATTGTAGTATGTATCAGAATTTTCTTCCTTTTAAAGGCTGAATTTTACTCCATTGTTTGGATAATACTGCATTTTGTTTATCCATTCATCCACTGATGGACACTTAAAGTTTGCTTCTACCTCTTGGCTGTTATGAATAATTCTGCTGTGAACATAGGTGTACAAATATCTGAGTCCCTGCATTAGATTTTTTTGGTTATATACCCAGAAGTGAACTTTCTGGATCATATGGTAATTCTATGTTTAACTATTTTTTTTTAATAATAGCCATCCTGATTTGACAATTTTAATTGGTTTTATGAATCTTTGTTACTTAAAAAATGAGATGTTACTGAGCTTCAGATTTCAACTTGTTAAGCAACAGATATCCTTTGTAAGTCAAATGACAGAATTGTTTTGCTTTAGAATAAGAATTTTAAATGAGGCCCATTTTGGTTAAGAGGTTGGGAATGGGACGGGTGGGGAGAAAGGCTACGCTTTATATGTATCTCATATACATAAAATCATGTCCTTAGGCACAATTTGATTTGCTACCAAGCGCAAATGTTATTTTGATTAAATTACTTGTAGCCAAAAAAATGGGGTTCATATCTTCTTATAGGTAAATTTCCATTTGGTAAATCCTGATTAAAGGGGGTAATATTATTATAGTGTCTATTACATTGTACTCTCATTTTTCTGGAAATTCTAAAATTCTAAGCATTAAAGCATAGGACACCATATTTAATATTTTTAGCTTACTAAAGACCAATCCTACTGATAAATCAAAGTTTTAAAAATATTTTTAGAAATCTGTTGCTATTAAATAAAAGGCCATTTGAAGATTGTGTCTAAGTAAATTTTTCTTTTCTCCTTTAGAGTGCGTCAGTTTATAGAAATGGTGAATGGTACAGATAGTGAAGTACGATGTTTGGGAGGCCGAAGTCCAAAGTCTCAAGACAGTTATCCTGTTAGTCCTCGACCTTTTAGTAGTCCAAGTATGAGCCCCAGCCATGGAATGAATATCCACAATTTAGCATCAGGCAAAGGAAGCACCGCACATTTTTCAGGTGAGATTTAACTTATGACATTATTTTTAGATTTTTCCTCTTTATAATCTTAAACCTTTTTCCTTTTGAAAATCTGTATATTTCCAGCTGGGCACGGTGGCTCACGCTTGTAATCCCAGCACTTTGGGAGGCCAGGGTGGGCGGATCACGAGGTCAGGAGTTCGAGACCAGCCTGGCCAACATGGTGATAACCCCATCTCTACTAAAAATACAAAAATCAGCTGGGCATGGTGGCAGGTGCCTGTAGTCCCAGCTACTCGGGAGGCTGAGGCAGGAGAATTGCTTGAATCCTGGAGGCAGAGGTTGCAGTGAGCTGAGATCACGTCACTGCACTCCAGCCTGGGTGACAGAGGGACACTCCATTTGTCTCAGAAAATCTGTATATTTCCTTTGTAGCTGTTTTCAAATGTGTATACTTAAGATTTTTCTGGGTGAAAAATTGTAGGTTCAGATTGACATGTTCTCAGTACCAGGAAGTCACTTGAAGAACAGCTGTCTGAGAATAGGTTATTAGCAGACCTTCCTAAATGAAAGTCAGCATTCACAATGAGTAGTCACCAGAATTAAATTATTGATTTTTAATAGTGAAAAGGTAATTGTGTGTTTTAATAAAATATAAATTTAAAGGTGATGTGGCTGTGATACCTTATGCCACTGGTTACCACATCTAGCTGGGCTGCCGCTGCCTCCCTCCTCTCCCCCCACCCCCAACCTTTCCCAACCAAGCCTCTTGCAAAAGTCAGCTCTGCCTAGTTCGTTTTCTCCCATCCGTTTGTTGGCTCACCAGTCTTACTCTCTGTGACTTTGGGCTTTCTCTTAATTAAAATTCTCTCCTTTCTTGGCTTTTGTGACATCACTTCTACAGGTTTTTTTGGTTTTGTTTTTGTTTCTTTTTAAAGAGTTGGAGTCTCGCAATGTTTCTGATGCTGGTCTCAAACTCCTGGCCTCAAGCACTGCTCCTGCCTCAGCCTCCCAAAGTGCTGGGCTTACAGGTGTGAGCTACCGTGCCCAGCCACAGATTTATTTCTGATGCTTCTCAGTCTTCTGTTTGCCCATCTCTTTAATTCTGCATTTCCCAAGATGTTATCTTTGTACATTTAACATTCTTAAACAAGTCAGATAGTGTCTCCTTTCCTTTCATGAAGTAACACCATTGCTTTTTCTTATTTCAATTTATTCTCTTTTCTGCATTACTTCCTCTCAGTTTATTTACATCACCACTCTGTACAACAAGTGTGATTCCCATGTCTGTTCTTAGCCACTACTCCTCTTGAATATCATACAGTCACTTCAGGCTTGGATAAATTCTGAGCCTCAGTGTATTCATATGTAAAATGGGGATGATCATAATATTGCCATTTTAGGGGGATTTTGAGGATTAAATGAGATGTGTAATTAAGCCTTCAATAAATGTTAGATGAGGTAATAATTAAGATCTCACAATTAAGTATTCTTAGTATCCTTTCAAAGAAGTTACCTGTTTACATCATCCATTGACTCTCCTACGTTCTAGAAGTCTTAGTACAAAATCAACATGGAGACTTGTTTACAACCGTATTAATAAATTAGTGTTTGTTTCTGTTTCTACGTGGTATCTTTTTCTTCAGGTTTTGAAAGTTGTAGTAATGGTGTAATATCAAATAAAGCACATCAATCATATTGCCATAGTAATAAACACCAGTCATCCAACTTGAATGTACCAGAACTAAACAGTATAAATATGTCAAGATCACAGCAAGTTAATAACTTCACCAGGTAAGTAATTTCACTGACTTTTGCACTAATATAAGCAACCTAGTTATAGGTGTAATCGTTGTAATAATTTTGAAAGAACTTGAATTATGTGACCCACAGAGGGGCTCTGGGAGTTCTTAAGCCCCCAGAGAATAAAAGCGTAGGGAGTCAGTTCCCCAAAGCTTTTTAGTCTCCTATTATGCACATGAGCTCTTTCCTTAGTTTCTTCCTCTTCTCTACTACCTTCTTCCCTCTAGTAAAGTTATAAGGACAAATTCAGGGCTTCATGCATTGTCTTCCTGCCAGCCACAGAGCTATACAAATGATCACATAAATGCCATTTGTTATGTTTTCACAGTGGTTAAGACACAGTAGCATATTTAACCTTGAACGGTGACATAAGATAAATTTACAACTGATTTTTTCTCTGTGTGTGAGTTTTTTTTGGTGTAAATGTGTAGAATGTTTTCCAAGTTCAAAACTAACTTTACAAATAATCTTTTTTGAAAGCCTGCCTTTAAGTAGCTTGCATATAGCAGATGGTTAAGTCATTTAGTAAACATTGGTGTGAGGATGGTTTTGAGGATTTGTTGGGCACCAAACATTCTGCTAGGTAGGGTGTCTCACTTTGAAGAGGTTTGAAAGATGATATCTCAGTCAGTGTACTATGACCCTTGATATACTCAGGTTTAATATTTATGAAACCTAAAAGTTCATGAAGTGACATTATTTGAATTAAATACTACTGTGCAGTAGCAAATTATTGTGAATTCACCCTGCCCAAATCATCCAGGACTGGGTCAATTTAATATTGGTTTGGTCTATAACAAACCAGTTGGTTACATTGCATTTTCAGGAAATGGTCATCAGTGCCACATTTTCTTATTAAAGGAGAGAGAGCCTAACTTTTAGCATGGAATCTTAATGGAAATATGATTTTGCAGAAAGGATTGTATGTAAAAAAAAATCTGTATTTGAAAATTGGGAGATTAATCTCAATTTCTGGGTTGTCTGTCACACGTGACAAAAATTTACTGAAGTAATAGTGTGTGTGATTGATATAAGTTGTAATGGAGAACCACAAAAGTGTATGAGAAGAGCAGAAAAATCGTCTTTCACAGCAGAGGTGATATATTGGAAAATATAAAATCAAAATATTATAGTTTAAAAATAGATGGAAATGTAAAAAGTTAAGTACTTCATCATGCTTTATACTAAATGCATTGGTACTTTATCATTGATCAAGGCTCTTGCCAATGTTTGAGGGTAAGATTGCAGTCAGTTTGTGAGTTTTTCTCTTGAATACTATCCCTACAGCAGGAAGTTGCTAAACAGATCTATTATTACCTGAGTTCAGGGAAGCAAGCTTAACGGAAGGGTCTGATGACACAACATCCTCCTTTGTCTGCAGTATAAAAGGGAAAGAAAGTCAACTTTGAACTGCCTTAAGCTATAAGTTATTTTGTAGTTGGTAATGGCTTTCCTAACTGTGAAGTAGGCAAAGATGGTATTAACTATTTAAACCATTTTACAGATGTAGAGCGGGATATCAGAAAAGTAAATGACTTTTTTTTCTTAAGGTCAATTATTAGTAGCTAGTAAGTTGCAGAGCTGAGGCTGCGTTTCAGGATTTGACTTGCAAACTTGTGCTTTTTCCCTGATACCGCCCACCATCTGAAATGCTCTTCTTCCTACCCTCCCTCACCTCCAGTATAACTTCTGTCCAGGCTGAGAAAATTCAAGTTCAGATGTCAGTTCTTCCAGGATGTTTTCCTTGATTTACATCCCATCAAATATGTCATGTTTTGTGATTAACTTCCATCATAGTACTGATCATAATTACTCTGTAATATAATAACTTAATTAGCTTTTTATAGGTTGTTTGCTACAGGAAGGCAGAGGCTGTTTCATAATATCCTTAGCACCTAACAGGGATCATACCTCAGAGGCTCTTAAATGTGTGTTAAATGAACGAGTTCCTTCCAAATACTAAACTGAGTTATCAAAAAAAAAAAAAAAGTTTAGTATTTTTTAAAAAGCCACTGAAAGCTGTGATGGTAAGGATTTTCTTATTCTTAAAGTTTGGTTTTTCTTACCAATTTTCGAAGTTTGTTAAGATTATAAACAAGCTTTCCTGGTTGAGTAAGTCTGCTCTGGAGTCGTAGGGCCATATCCCCCTTTTCCCTAGATCTCTTGTTTTTTTTTTTTTTACCTTAACAATTTTACTAACAGGAGTGTATGCATGCACACACACACCCCCAAGGTGTTAGAATTTGTTACCTCTGGTGGTATTACGCATAGTGGTTTTTGCTCATCTGTGTTTTTTTTTCTACAATTGAATATATATTGCTTTTGTAATGAGAAATGTCATTTTTATCTAAGCATTACCTAAAATTTCATCGAGTGTTTACTTCTAGATTGTATAATTATTACCTAGGCTTCCATAGGATAAATCCTAAAGATTAGATATTTATTGTTGCTTATAAGAGTGCGGATGGTTCTGAAGGACATACATTGACAGCTTAAATATGTGCAAATATAGTTATTGGCAGATAGATATTCATTGAGTGGAATGAGTGAAAACTGGAAACTATCCAGGACATCAGTTTAAAAGTTAAGATTCAGCAATACTTTAGCCAATAAGATAGCCTGTGAGTTCACTCTCTGTCGTGTGGTGAAAAGGGATGAGAGAATGAAGCTCAATCATTTTTTAAGTTATCAGTTACCCTTGAAAGAATGTATATTTTTAAGTAGTGAGGACAAATGCCAGAATGCTATTTAAAAACAGCCTAGGAGTGGATTGAGTATGAGGTCCGGAACGAGGTGAAGCGGGTTCCAGGAGTGAGATGTATTTGTTTTGAGAGTGAGGTTTTCCCCTTACATACTAGAAATCAGTGCTGGGGGTAGGGGGAGAGGGCTGGCTGGGGAGTTGGTGGGGCAGCAGTTGATTAACGAAGACGTACAGATCTGAATTTGAAAAATAATAGGATTGTGTGGAAGTATGATTTCTCCATATTGATGTAAAGTCATAAAACCACTACATTTTAGCATATGTACTTTTTTTCCTCCCTTACCTCCGGGGGTACAAATTTGTTAAAAGTCAGCGACATGTTTGGCTTTGAATACGTTCAAGATTTAACTAAATACCTTTTTTGCAGATTTCTGTTGCCTTATGAAATTAGTTTATTCGTAGGCTATGTAGTTCAGTAGTGATTTATTTTAAACTAAGCTGCAAGTATGATATTTCTAAAATTAGGTTTGTTTTTTCGTTTTCAGTAATGATGTAGACATGGAAACAGATCACTACTCCAATGGAGTTGGAGAAACTTCATCCAATGGTTTCCTAAATGGTAGCTCTAAACATGACCACGAAATGGAAGATTGTGACACCGAAATGGGTCTGCAGTGATATTTCTTACATTTTTAATAAAAAATGATGGCTACAAGGTTATGTTTTTACTTGTACTGATTCACAGCTGATGAGCATAAACCAGATTTAAAGATGTATGTGCTGTAGGACTTGACAGTAATGCATAGCACTTAAACTCTTGTTTGAGTGGGCTGCTAGAGAAAGTAGAGTTACCTTTCAGCTACAGGCAGTGTTTCTTGCTGAACTGCTTAGGCTCAGGTTTAGCGCTGTCACTAATGCAGCAGTACTGACTTACTGGTGTTGAGCCTCTAGGCTATTTTAGGTTGGAGATGATAGAACTTCTTATATTTATGTCAGTATAGTCAGTAAGGCCAAATGGTTAGATGATTTTACAAATTTCTAATCAGTATTTCTTAAATGAGTTTAACGTAAACGTGTGTGACTTTGCATAGTACTATCCCTGGTATATAGTAGGTGCTTAAGTATGACCTCCCTCACCAAAAAAAAAAACCCCACCACCAACAAAAAAATTATGTGGCTCCAAGACACATTAGCATGCATAATTTTATTTTGTAGACAACTTAAGTAGTAAATTGCCTGTCCCATCAGCAAACTATCCCATCAAATGGAGAGTGAAAATTTATTTGTTGGATTACATTTTTTCATTTATTTGTTGGAATTCCATGGCAATGTTAGATTTCTTATTATTTTGAGATTGAGTGGTATTACTAAAATTGTTTTTTAAAAAGAAATGCAGCTTTGTTTTACTCTTCAATATCAGCCACCTCAGTTTCTGAAGAGTAATTTAAGTACAGTGATAAAGAGCAGGAGTTCTAGAGCCAGATTACATAGATTTGATTTCTGCAAAACTGCCATTTACTAGCTGTGTGACCTTGGAAAAATTACTTAACTGCTCTGTGTCTCAGTTTCTTCATCTGTAAAATGGGTATAATAACGACCTCATAAGTTATTGTGAAAGTAAATGAATAATCCAAAAAGCTAATAGCACAAAGTGCTTGGGAAATATTAACCATCATCATCGTCATTACCTTATTTTTAATGACTTATAAGTAATTTATACAGTTAAATTATTTTATCAATCAAGATATATAAAACTATTTTCTTAGCTGGGCATGGTGGCTCACGCCTGTAATCCCAGCACTTTGGGAGGCCGAGGTGGGCGGATCACAAGGTCAGGAGTTTGAGACCAGCCTGACCAATATGGTGAAACCCCATTTCTACTAAAAAATACAAAAATTAGCCAGGCATGATGGCGCGTGCCTGTAATCCCAGCTACTCAGGAGGCTGAGGCAGGAGAATTGCTTGAACCTGGGAGGCAGAGGTTCCAGTGAGCTGGGATCACACCACTGCACTCCAGCTTGGGTGACAGAGTGTGAGACTCCATCCAAAAAAAAAAAAAATTATTTTTTCAAAGTGGTATTTTTCTAAAAGTAGTGCATTTAATCTTTTCAGTTAGTATAATATGCTGTCTTCTGTATTTTTATTGTAGTCATTTAGCTTTTCTTAGCTTTCAGGAGCATTTTATTACATCTCTACTACGTCAGTTAAGGCAGCCTGAGTGGCATTATTAACAGTTTTCCTTTTTTTTTTTTTTTTTTTAAATGTTGCTTAATGTAGTTTTAGGGAATTATACTTTTTCTAAAATTTTTTTCTGACATAAGTACCCTCTAACACTGAAAGGTTGTCCCCTCTCAACTGCATGCTGAATACTGGATCCTAGACTCTTGAGAGCTAAATAAAGTATATCTTTTAGCTGCAGTTTCATATTAAAAATGAATTTTTAACAATCTGCATATTTAGATGAAATATTAGGGAATAGTTACTAAATGTACAAAATGGTATAAGAAATGTATGTTCGTGTCCTCATTATACTCCATTCCATAAGGTAGTAAAATACTTGTCTGTTTTTCTTACAGAAGTTGATTCAAGTCAGTTGAGACGCCAGTTGTGTGGAGGAAGTCAGGCCGCCATAGAAAGAATGATCCACTTTGGACGAGAGCTGCAAGCAATGAGTGAACAGCTAAGGAGAGACTGTGGCAAGAACACTGCAAACAAAAAAATGTTGAAGGTGAATATATTTTTTCTTGAAAAATTATGAATATGTCAGAGGAACTAAAATGTAGTTTTGTGAAACACTGAGCAGTGTACCAGAAATTCTTGTTAGGGAACTGGGACCTGACCTTCCCCCTGGCTCCTTGCCCATCTGAGAGTGGAAATATTTGATGAAGTTAGGCAGTTCTGATCTACTGGAAAGAGCATTGGACTAAAGCAAAAAAAAAAAAAAAAAAAAAAAAAAAAAAAAAAAAAAAAAAAAAAAAAGGATTAAATCCCAGTGCTAGTGCTTATCAACATTGTGTGTCCTCGTTAACTTAGTTTCTTAGTTTTATTTTCTCAGCTGTAAAATCAGCAGTTACTAGGAGCAATGTGGGCGTGCAGATAAAACTATAGGTCTGAGATCTCATTTTAGTAAATGTTGTTCAGGTTTATAGCATTTTGGATGTATAACACATGGTTCTCATTTTGATGGGAATTAGTGAAGAATTGGGTCACTTTTCATGGCCAGAATAGTTAAAATACATTTTAAAGTCTCTTCTGGATTGTTGTCCATGAGCTGATAGGATGGATACAATCTAATTCAGTAAAGTAGCCACAGTTTTGTGTACCAGTTGAAGGTGGAGGGGCTTTCTCCTAACTTAAGTCAGCATTGCAGTTGTAGAGATGTACAGCTCTTTAACAGTTGGTTCATTGTAAACATTTTCTTCTGAATATTTTGGAAGAAGACTGAAATTAAAGGGGAGATGAATGCAGTGGCCTTGAGACTAATGTTTGGGTATGGTAGGAAAGGGCAAGCAAAAGATTCCTGCCGCTGTTTCTTCCTGACCTGGACTGAAAGTTAGTACAGGTTGAGTATCCCTAGTCCGAAAATCTGAAGTGCTCCAAAATCTGATACTTAAGAGTGCCGACATGATACACAAGGATATGCTCATTGGAACATTTTGGACTTTAAGATGAGAGATGCTCAATTAGTAATGTTTTAACATTTGAAAAAATCTGAAATCTGAAACATAGCACAAGTGTAGGACATAACATGCTTGCCTGGCCTAGGATGTGTTATAGAGCACCTCAAGTTAAAGGCATGCAATCTTGTATTTTCCCTAGCTGAGATGGGAAGTCAGGTGTATTTATCATACTTTGAACTTCATCTACTCCATAGTATAAAAACTGCTGTTTCTAGTGGTTACCCTGAGCTATCAAAAAAGTTAAATTATTTTTATGTTAGATAAAAAATAATTGATAATTGAAACAAGTTTAATTTAAAAAGTCAAATCAGGCCGGGCGCGGTGGCTCACACCTGTATTCCCAGCACTTTGGGAGGCTGAGGCGGGCGGATCATGAGTTCAAGAGATTGAGACCATCCTGCTAACACGGTGAAACCCCGTCTCTACTAAAAATACAAAAAAGTAGCTGGGCCTGGTGGCGGGCGCCGGTAGTCCCAGCTACTCAGGAGGCTGAGGCAGGAGAATCACTTGAACCCAGGAGTTCAGGTTCAGCCTGTGCAACATAGTGAGACCTTGCCTCTTAAAAAAAAAAAAATAGAAAAATGAGAAGAGTGGCATTGCTTTATATTTTTTTGTAAGTCTCTTTAATGCTTGGTTTAATAGGTGAGCTGTATTCGCATACAGACCAGACTGCCTTTAGTCTGTTGTGGTATCACATGTCTTGTGCCTCTGGAAAATTCCACTATATAGTCAGAGGAAATGAAAGAGAAAAGGGCAAGGAACATCTTAGTACTATTATACAAATAATTTTGACTTCACAGATCCCCTGAAAGGTTTTTGGACCCAGGTGTCCCTGAATCATACTTTGAGTACTGTTGTTTTAGGGCATATTTGGAAATAAAGAATTTTTTTTTTTTTTTAAGAATTCTTAAGACTTTTTTTACACTAGGTCATCTGACTTGGTTTTCTTTTTAAAACTTTATGCTAATTGAGCAGGATGAAATACCTTTGAAAATTTAAGATTATACTCCATTAGCTTACTTTGTGTTTGATTCTTATTTACATGAAGCTCAGAAGATGGCATTATATGGCCAATTCTCAAAGATATTCCTTGGTTATATACTGAATTGTGTGAAGATGTATCATCTTTATTTAAAGAGTATAGATGTCTTTGATTTTGCACCTCTAACTTCTAAGCAAATGCCAGCTACTTTCAGAGACTTTCTTAATACTCTGAGCTGCTTCCATCTCATTTCCCAAACTTATCTTGATCTAGATAGGGATAAGGTGAGCAACTGACCCACCTTATATATAAGTAGCCAAAGAACAAGGCCGGATGATTTGAGGGCAACATGAAGAGAAAACAGGTTTAGAAATCATTCCACTTCTTTTTGTCACTTCAGTTCACTTGTAATTGTAGCATTTTTTAAAATTGTAGCATCGTTTTTAGGTTTGCATAAACTTTGAGTCATGTGACTCAGAAGTTCATGCAAATACACACACACACACACACACACGAGAGAGAGAGAGAGAGAGAGAGAGACAGAGACATGAGAGAGAGAGATTGAGAGATTTGATTAATGTTGAAGGTCAGGTGGCACACTGTTTCTCTTGACCTTTTTCCTTTTAGTTTTTTCAAAGTCTTCTTTCCTCTTTTCCTGTTGTCTTTGTTCCTTATCTGCCTACGTCTTCCAGTGGCTCCCAAAAGAACTCTTGAATTGTTTGTTGAGCAGCTGTTTATTGAATTTTTGCAGTGTGGAGAGGCATTGTTGTAGGGACTGTGGAAAGTCCAGTATGAATGAACAGCCCCAGCCTGCAAGGACCCTTTAGTAACTGAAGTAGCAAGAGAACCATTTAGAGTCACCCTATTTAGAAACTGCTCCAGATTCTAAACCAAATATGAGTACAATTTGAAAATCCTACCTAAATGATGTCACATTTCCCTCAGAAGTTATTCCACTGAGGTAATGTTTTTTGCTTTAAAATAACCCATAATGCTACATATTTCAGGTATTTTCAGTTTTGTGCCTTAACTCCCATGTGCATGTATCTTAACTAGCTAATAACTGTAGTGACACTATTTTGTATTCTGTTTTGTCATAAGAATTTATTTCCTCCCAGTTTCTATGCATTATTTCCAATTATTTTTAAATAACTACACGAGGCTGGGTGTGGTGGCCCACATCTGTAATCCCAACACTTTGGGAGGCTGAGGCAGGAGGATTGCTTGAGCCCAGAAGCTCGAGGCTGCAGTGAGCTGTGATTGCACCACTGCACTGCAGCCTGGGTGACATAGCAAGACCCTGTCTCAAAAAAACAAAAAGGCTCAATGATATTTTATTGTTGCTGTATAGGTTTATTTCAACATTGCTCTGTTGTTGGATTTTTCCATTTGCTTTTATGTCAGATGCTTTAGTGAAATCTTTATACATGTATCTTTGTTTCTTAAATTATTCCACTGAGATAAATTTCTAGAAGTAGAATTGAGTCAAAGAATATGAACATTATTGTGGCTCTCACTGCATGTTGCTATACTGGTTTTCAGAAACCCTTTACCAACTTTTACCAGCAGTAATGAAGGAATGTACCAATGGCACTACTACATTAATGCTACTTTAGCGGGTTTAACATATGTTAGTATCTTAAAATTGCTTATTTGCATTTCTTTGGTTATCATCACCAGTTAACTTTTACAGCAGGCTTTAAACCATTAGTATTGTTTTGCCAGTTTCATTCATTTTCCTTTGTGAAGAAAGAATCAAGTCCTAGATGTTTACGACTGGGAGTTTGATGGTATAAACCATTTTTTATTTTTAAGGCTCTGTTAGTTTTGTTGCTTACAGCTTCACTCTACTTCCAAGCCATGTTTTATAGTGTTTTTGTGTGATCCTTCTAAAATTAAGTCTAATCCATATTGGTTTCCTTCATTTAAAACCTTATTTCCTTATTGGAAAAACTTGAAGCTTTTTAGTATGTTTTTTGGGGTATTTTAGCTCCTAACCCCTACCCATGTTTCCAACCATGCTTTTTTCTCCTTTCTCTCAGCCTGAGTTTGCATGTATTAAGTCAATAGTAATGTACTGTGTGTTATTTATTTACATGTAAGCCTTTTCTTGAAGCAGTGACTAGGTCCTGGTCATCACTGTATCCTCAATATCTGACAGCTGTATGTTGAACTGTACTGAAAATGAAATACCAGAGAAAAATTTTAGATGTTTTTTCTTCTTAACATTTAGATTGGTAACTAAAAGAATCTGCATCTTACTATTCACTGCCTCAGTTTGCTTCTCTAGATGATAGACATGATAACAACTTTAGATGATTATTGTAAGGATTAAATAGATGATCCATATTAGTGCCTAAAACACTTCTTCACACAATATTAGTGCACAATACGTTGTTGTCATTTTAAAGAACTTTTTCTCTGAGTTTTTAAACACTGCAGTGTAGTAGTATTTTTTTTTCCTTTAAGTTCCAGGGTACATGTGCAGGATGTGCAGGTTTGTTACATAGGTAAACGTGTGCCATGGTGGTTTGCTGCACTAGACAGTGTAGTCTTAATTTAAGATTTGGGAGTGCGACATTTCACATTTTCGGTGGTGTGTTAGGATGTAGGCTATGAATATAGTTTTGTACTTGAAGTTTTTGTTTACCAAGTATTCCTTGGAAAAATTGTTCAGTATTTCTTTTTAAATTTATCTGTACTATGGGTATGGTACCCTCATCAGATGGTTGTGGGGTAAATTAAGTCTTGAGCAAAGCTCAGTCCTTAAAAATAACGTGATTTTTTTTTTTTTTTTTTTTTTTTGGAGATGGAGTCTCTCTCTGTCGTCCATGCTGGAGTGCAGTGGCGTGATCTTGGCTCACTGCAGCCTCCGCCTACTGGGTTCAAGTGATTCTCCTGCCTCAGCCTCCCGAGTAGCTGAGATTAGAGGCATGCACCACCATGCCTGACTAATTTTTGTATTTTTAGTGGAGATGGGGTTTCACCATGTTGGCTAGGTTGGTCTTGAACTCCTGGCCTCAAATGATCTGCCTGCCTCTGCTTCCCAAAGTGCTGGGATTACAGGTGTGAGCCACCACACCCGGCCAAAAACAAAATAATGTGTTTGATTTGAGTTAGCTTTACAGGATAAAGGGTCATATATTCTTTCCATGGGTTGGGAAGTGTGGGTTGGGTTAGGGGCGGGAAGTAGAACCAAGTAGCTTTGTGGGATGCATAAAACATCTTCATTGCTGGAAGAAGCAGGTCTTGCTCTCAACAGGCATATGAATTATCTTCCTGTACCAAGCACCTGCATAGCTTCAGGGGATTCAAAATAGTATAGTAAATAATTTTTATCTTCAAAGAACTTCTATTGTAATTGGAGGAGAAAACTACCCAGAATGAAATACTCAGCAATATAAAACAATGGAGGAGCCATGTGTGTTTGCGTAGAGGCACGTGTATTCCATGCCTTGTGGTCTCAGACTGACTTCACAGCATTTCTTCATGGGTTATTCTTCTTTAAATCCACAATATTAGAGGCTTATTTGGATGAGAAAGGGCAAGAGTACAGTTAATCAGAAGCCTTTCCCCCACCTCTGCTTTCATAACACTAGTAAGATAACTAGAGAAATGATGGAAAATGGGTGTGGAATCTGGTTTTTTGAGCAGCTGAACCTAGGAGATGGTGCTCTTTAGGAATTTCAGTAGTCAGTATTTTCAAAGTGTTGTGTTCCTGAACTCACAAATTGACAGTTTCTGCAGCAACTCTCCATGTCTGCCTTCCAAATTGGTAAGAGTGTTCTGAATTTCTCTATTTTTATATTTGTATAATATTGCTCTGGATTAGGGTATTGACTTTTGGCATAATAATAAGACGTCATTTATTGAAAGATTAGAATGAACTGATACTGCTAATTTCATTTAGTCCTCATACAAATCTAGGAAATAGGGCCTCTTATAGTCCCCATTATGCAGTAATGAAACTGGCACTTAGATTGTCAATTGCCAAAGGCTACACAGCCAGTTAGTGGTGGAGCTTGGACTTGAAGCCAGTATCTGAAACCACCATTAGTATGTGCCTCCCATAGAAAGAAGACAAAAAATATAAAGTAGTTGTTTGAAAAGAAGACGACTGTCAGTCATTTTAAGTTTTGAAGAGGTGTGGCTTGAGATAGTTGGAAATACTGAATGCATAAACAGGTCCTGAAGGGCAGCCTGTTTAATTTTTTCATAACTGAATTTGAGAAGATGACATCCCAGTGAGATGTGTCCAGTTCCTAAATCTGTTGAAAAAAGGAAATGCAGACAGGCCCTGTCCTTTGACTGTCACATTCATATCAGTAGTAATAAATTGTGAAGTAAAACATCTGAATGTTTTGCCTTCCACTCTCCCTACACCAGTACTAGTTCATTCCTTTGAAATTTTTTTTTCCTGTTTTGTGTTTAGGGATGGGAGGAAGTTGAATGAGAATGGCTGTCCACAGGAAAAATGAAAATAAATTAGGCTTTGCTGCATAATTTAATGTTCAAAAATGTAGAGCGTCCCAGTGCTGGGAGTAAATGGGTTTAAAGTTTACATTATTAGTCTGTGCCTGGAAGCCATATTTTACCTCTCAACTTGGAAACATTTGTGAGCATAATAGTTGAACTATTTGAATTAAAACCAAATCGATGTGTTTTCAACAGGATGCATTCAGTCTACTAGCATATTCAGATCCCTGGAACAGCCCAGTTGGAAATCAGCTTGACCCGATTCAGAGAGAACCTGTGTGCTCAGCTCTTAACAGTGCAATATTAGGTAAGTAAAGCCAAATAAGGCACAATTTCAGTTAGATTCTCTGAAAATTTAAGAGAGGGTGTTTGTACTGGCATTTACACTTTGGTAAAATCATCAGGAAAATGTTTTCTATATTTTTAAAATATAAAAATACCTAAAATATAGAAACCCCCTCCTTTAATTCCAGATTCAAGTGGATTTAAATAGAATAAAAACAGTAAGATGGGGTACAACTTGGGATGTTTGGGAAATAGAAGTTTTTGTGTGCATGTATGTAAGCATTTCTGGTAGCCACGAATGTCTACTTCTCTCATTAGAATGAGAGATTTGGTGGTCCTTGTGTATAATTCAAAATACTACCCTACCAGAGACATTCCTTACAGCCCTCTTTAGTGAAAGGCATTTTCTGCCACTGATTTCTAGGCTAGGAATTGGGTGGCATTCTCTCGTTTGGCTGCTGTAGAAGGAATCGGAGAACGTTAAGAACATAGATTAATAATTGTCACAAGAGTTAGGCTAGAAGGGAACAGGGTACATTTGAAGAAAAGAGGTCAAGAAAGGTTTTGATGGAGAGAATGAAAATGGAAGTAAGGGAGTGAAGAGCTTGAATATCAGAGAAGCTCAAACTGATCCAGTAGAGGGCAGGATTCCTAGCTGGTCCTCCCCTGTTACCTGGTTCCCAACCATTTTGCTTGAGCTAAATTTGCAATGGGTAGCAGCAGCCTAAGCCACTGGTATCACAGCTCCCACCATGCTTATGAATATGGGCACAAGGGGCTTCCTGATGACTTGTGAGTACCCGGCAGGATCAAGCCTTGATGTCACATTCTATTTGCATTTATATTAGCCGGATTCAACTACATGCCCTTACCCAATAAAAAGGGTGGGTGAGGAAGAGAAAAGCAATTTAAAAGGCGAGGCTTAGCCAGGGGTGAGCATCAAGTGCGAAACGCTAATTCGATGTTCGTTTGGTTGCCATTCCTATGAGCAGCTCACTGTAGCGTTTGTGATTATAGTATTTATATACTGAACAAGTACTTTTTATATGAATTGTGTAACTGCACATATTGTGCATTTCTATATAAATGTGATAGGGTCGATTGTTTACATAAAACAAGTTTGAGTTTTGGGCAGTTCTCATCAAAGGTAATTTATATAAAGAGTGAGTTTTCATTTGACTTCAGAGTCTAATTCCCAGGTAATTGGGACTCCAGTCTAGTTTAGAAGTCTGTGCTGTGCTGTTTGGCCCTGCAAGGTTCAGGGACTTTTAGTCACATATTTCAAACTAGTTTAGGAAGATGAGGGCAGTGCCACAAAAAGTAGATTAAAGAGTAGTTTAGATAGGGAGACTTGCAATGAGGGCCAGGACTCTTACAGCAAGAATGTAAAGGAAGCAATGAAAAGCATTCATATTTAAGACTCAGTCTGTTTCTTTGCCCTTAGAAAATTTATTAATTTGTTAAGGACCAATACTGAAGTTTGGGAATAGGAGTAGTGTCCTCAGTGTTGTAGTTCTCCGGAATTTAGGATTTGTATATAAATGTGAATTTTCTTTGGTTAATGTGTTATATTTTCATTGGTTCTACAAAATTCATTTAGCTCCGTTGGTAAAAGTAACTTAGTAATAATGCTGGAATTGTAAGGAAAATTATGGTTTACTATAAATGTCTTTTTGAAGTTATATTGTAGGTAATCATTAAGACCTAATTATTAGATGATACTAATCTTTAAAGTGACCAGTTTTCTTACAATTTAGTTTCTTGAGTTCTTCAAGGGAATTTAATTGTTGAGCACCATTATCTATAGACACATATACTCTTACATATTGTGCTATATTATGTAGATTCAGCCATAAATAGTGCTTAATCTTATTAATATAAATGTATGCGATTCCTGTAAAATTAATGACACAATTATTAAACTGCTATAGATGGGCATGTATATGTTTATAAATACCATGCTATATTATGTAGGTCCATCTATATAGTGTTATGAAAATTTCATACATCCAAAAAAGTTAAAGATGCATCGCCAGATGCTTCCTTTGGCCAAAATAAAATTAAAAAAATATTCCCTGTAGATGTTTGTCTTTGAGCACGGTCTTCCCTGTGAACCCTCAAGACACCACACTTTCTCATCAATCTATGTGCCCTTTTTTGCACACGTTTATTCTTAATCCTGTTTTTGTTTTCTCTTCTACCTTTAAGTCCTGAATTTGCTTCTTTCTGATATTGTGCTTTTTCCCTTTTGGAAATTTCCTCTTCTTTCTTCCACCATCAAATTGCATCCTCTGAACCAAGAGTGGAGTTAAACCATATGAAGCCTTCCTAGCCATGTGTCAACTGTTTTTGCCCTTTGTTGTCAACTGTGCCTATAAAGAACTGATTAGTAATTTTATTGATTAGTTTGGACATTGCCTTCTCATAAAGAGAAATTACCAGCTTCTGAGTCTGGCCACTTTTACCATTAGTTCATTTTTTTCCATCTCTGGCAAGGAACAAATTTTGTTAATTATTGCATTTGTACTACAAATGTCTGACAAAGAAACTTATGATATGCAGGACCCTGAAAATTTATTGGCATTTTTTTAAATGTCTGAACTGTCCACTGTAAATTAGCACCTCCAAAACTGTGGGGTGGCTCTGCTGTATGTTCTCTCACTGTCACCACCACCACTTACTCCCCACCAGCCCAAATAACATTACCTATATATGCCTTGGAGATGGCTAGGCAGCCTGTTTGGTCCTATCCACAGAGGTGGAAGAACCCATCAGTGGAAACTTGTAATGAAAACCTGGTGCCTTTTTTAGTTTTAGTTAGTATCAACTGACTTTGATCAACCAGAAGGGAAATAATTCCTTACTCTCCACTCCAAATATCAGATAAAAAATTGTACCTTTCCCATCATAGTTAATATGGAAGTATTTTAGTATCTGATACTTTAAAAGTCTGATTCTGCCAGAGTTTATCTTATAGTTGAATACACAATACCCACACTACCTTGTCAGAATAGTATGTCCAAGGCGGCATCTGTCTTTTGCTTAGAAACCTTCATTTGCTGATATTTCAGAGTGGTATGGGAGTGGTAGTTTTTAAAGTCATTGCAGTATTCTCCTGATTGAAATGTTTTTTAAAATGTCTTGCTAATTGCTGTTCTCATTTTTAAATTATTTTTCCTCAGAAACCCACAATCTGCCAAAGCAACCTCCACTTGCCCTAGCAATGGGACAGGCCACACAATGTCTAGGACTGATGGCTCGATCAGGAATTGGATCCTGCGCATTTGCCACAGTGGAAGACTACCTACATTAGCTATGCATTTCAAGAGCTCACACTTATATTGTGGCATATAGTCAACATGGAAGTAGACCAGCTCTGCTGATTTGAAATTTAGATTTTTTAAATTATGTACTGGGGACAGGTTTTTGTCGCTTTACATTGCTTCCTAGTTTACAGCATGATGCAAATGATTTTCTAACTTAGTGTTAGGAGAAATTATTTTCCATCTTTAACCTCTTAGTTGTCTAAGAGTTAAATATTACTGAATTTCAGACGTTCAAATTGATCATCACAAATCCTTTAAAACAATTACCTAAAAGAAACCAAAAATCCTGCCTTCTTTGTGGGGGAGGGGGGAGAGAGGGGAAGGAAATGGAACAAGTTGTGTTTGTGTTAGCATGTGGGTGATGTAAACTTCAAATTGGGAGATGTTCCGACCCCCACTCCCATATAAGCATTCAATCAGTGTAACTTGCAAAATGCATAAACATCCGACAGTTTGAATTTATAGTGTTGATGGAAGAAATCATTTTTAATGTGTACTGTAAAACTTGAAATACTCAGGAGCTGAGTGAATATGTTTGTTGCTACTTACAATCCCGACCTGTTAGTCCCAGTAGTTTTGTTTTAACATGGTCTTTTTCAACTTTGTTTCCTGTTTAACTACAGATGACTTCTGTTGTAGACTCACAAGTTTAACTGTTGTATTATAACAGTATTACATGTCAACGGTGTGGTTATGACCTTTATTTATATAAAAACCAAATATTTAGTCAATTTACCGTGTCTTAATTTAATCTTTGTACACCTTCCATTTTTAAGTGCTTAAATGAGTACTATATTGCAATAAAATGTAGTGATATAATTAACCAGCCATTAAAAATTTACTTCTACAGATACAGTGTCAATTGAGTTTATATATTAGGTACTTGCATACTTTTTATGATTACTATGAAAATTAGAGCAATTAAAATTAATGGTTTCTACAATTAATCTGAGTTCTACAACCTAAAATTGCCTTCAGTTTACTGGCATCCCTGGATTAGGGTTAGACCTGATATTGTGGCTGACACAGAAAGGCAACAGGAAATTAACTTCATTATTTTCATATTCATAATATGGCATATGAGACTCACCAGGCAAGCAAATCCCCAGACTGGTTAAAAGTAAAAATTTAAAAGCTGTTAGCTATATTTTGTGCACTGAATCTTTAATAGCAAATTGTCTACAGGCTGCAGTTAGAGACTTTGCTGGAATATCCATTTCTCCTTTTAGTCCGTGCCATTTTTGCCACCCCTCTAACCCGGGGAGAGTAGAAGAGGTGCTGTTGCTGATGTGGGTATGGCTTGAATTCAGTTAAATATATTAAAAAGAAAACAATTCCTTCTTAAACCACTTTTTCCTCTAGGATTGCAAGGCACAGTTCTACTCCAGAAGAATGAAATGTGGTTGAGCACTTCCTCAAATAGGTTTATGATTTTTATAATGATCCTTTAAAATGATCTATGAATGATTTATTAGATAAATTCTATACATACAAAGTACAGATTCTTCATTTAGCATTGATTTACTTCTTAGTTTTCATCTTTCTGACCATCCACCGTCTTTTAAACCTCTTGGCATTTTGTTTTTTTTGGATTCCTAGAATATAAAGTTTTCTGCAGTAAGTATATTAGAAAAACATAATTCAAAATTTTTTTAATTACTCTATATGAATGTAATTACTAAAACTGGGTGGGCTTATTATACTTTAGATGTATATACATACTACATTGACCTGTTTTTCACAAGTAACTTAATATATAAGCCATTATAAGGGGGAAAAGTATAATTATGAACTATCTCCTTCAAAAGAACATTATTCAACATATAAAGCTATTAGAGACAGGAGAATAAAGCTGGATCTTACCCCAAGCATTATTCAAAAACTGGACAGCAGCTCTTTTCACTGGTAACCTCTTGTTGGCAAGAGACAGGAACTTATTTACTAGAAAAGAAAGGTATTTATCATTTCACAGTTTTATTTGCAGTAAAAAGTGAGAAAAATAGTCCATAAAAAAATTACCAGTAGTCCTGTTGGTTCCTGGCCCATATAATGAATTATGTATGAAGGCTTGTGCTGCTTGTTGCCTTGAATCTCTCAGATCTTGGTCTTTTAGCCTTACGGC
The DNA here is from genome assembly GCF_000001405.40 of Homo sapiens. Lineage (NCBI taxonomy): Eukaryota > Metazoa > Chordata > Mammalia > Primates > Hominidae > Homo > Homo sapiens. The sequence continues at coordinate 13,620,226 of NC_000006.12, read as the reverse complement.
CAAGTAGCTTTTATTCTGGCTGTTGATCAATATAAAAGGTTAAATAAGAATTACACATGCTTACTTTCTTTTTTTTTTCTTCCTGAGACAGAGTCTCGCTCTGTCACCCAGGCTGCGCGATCTCAGCTCACTGCAACTTCTGCCTCCCAGGTTCAAGCAACTTGCCTGCCTCAGCCTCCTGAATAGTGGGATTACAGGTGCCTGCCACCATGCCCAGCTAATTTTTTTATTTTCAGTAGAGACGGGGTTTCACCATGTTGGCCAGGCTGGTCTCGAACTCCTGACCTTGTGATCCACCAGCCTCGGCCTCCCAAAGTGCTGGGATTACAGGCATGAGCCACCGTGCCCAGGCTACATGCTTACTTTAAAATATTTTTATCATTTGTCTCATAGTGATAAATGAAACTAATTTTATATATGCACAGATAGGATAAAACTAAATTACAAGGACTACAAGAAACAGACACTCATATTTTAGTAGAGCACATGGTGGTTTTGTTCATCAGTTGAACAATCAGCATCTCAGATAGATCCAACTGAAGAACTTGTTCCTGGACTTTTGTACTAAAATATACTAAAACCAAAAGTCAAAACATTAGTTAACAGGAAATTGTTCGGATACATGTAGTAAAAGAGAATTGACAGCATGATTTCCAAATCGATTGTGCCAAATAAGTTTTTCCAAATGAAAAGTCCAACATACTGTGATGAATTCCTCTCATGGTCTTGCACTTTGCTTTACATTTGTTTCTATATTTGATCTTGTGGCTAAAACACCGATTTGCAAGTAATGATTTGGACCACCAAGCTGTACTGAATGCAACTCAAATGAATGCCTGTGGACTTCAAGACAGATACTACAGACATCGTCCACAGTATCGGCCAAAATTCCAGTAACAGCAATAGGCACTTTCTCTGTGACTTCTGTAGACCATAAGAATAGAAGATAAGGCCATATTGTCAGGGAAAGGTTGAATTTTGTGAAAAATGACTCCTTTTGAAGAATTGCCATGACTGGCAATAGTGGTGAACAACCTTTCCATTGGAATGACTGTCTTTGCATCAGCACCATGCACCATAAGGGCTGGTGACTGGAGGAACATTCAGCAGCCAGAAAAATTAAACTGCCTGAATAAGAGTAGGCTGGCAAGTTTGAAGTGCTGACAGTAGGCTGCAGTGTATCTTGAAATAAACATCTATCTATTGGGAGAGGTGAAATGAAATTTTCTCAATAATAAAACCACTAAAAAAAAGTTTTTGAACTTAACCTGCAGGACCTGCAAAGACAAAGTGTTCAACTGATCTTTATTTTTTTATGAAAACCGATTTTTTTTTTGAGACAGGGTCTCACTCTGTCGCTCAGGCTGTAGTGCAGTGGCACAATCTCGCCTCACTGCAGCCTCGACCTCCTGGGCTCAAGTGATCCTCCCACCTTGGCCTCTGGAGTAGCTGGGAATACAGGTGCACACCAGCACGCCCAGCTTACTTTTTTTATTTTGTGTAGAGACTGGGTTTTACCATGTTGCCTAGGCTGGTCTTGAAATTCTGGACTCAAGCAATCCACCTGCTTCAGCCTCCCAAAACGCTGGGATTACAAGTGTAAGCAAACATGCCCGGCCCAAAATTGGTTTTTCCACAGAGACGACAATCTGAAATTACTACTAATTAAAATATTTTCCCGGCCGGGCGCGGTGGCTCACGCCTGTAATCCCAGCACTTTGGGAGGCCGAGGCGGGTGGATCATGAGGTCAGGAGATCGAGACCATCCTGGCTAACAAGGTGAAACCCCGTCTCTACTAAAAATACAAAAAATTAGCCGGGCGCGGTGGCGGGCGCCTGTAGTCCCAGCTACTCGGGAGGCTGAGGCAGGAGAATGGCGTGAACCCGGGAAGCGGAGCTTGCAGTGAGCCGAGATTGCGCCACTGCAGTCCGCAGTCCGGCCTGGGCGACAGAGCGAGACTCCGTCTCAAAAAAATAAAAAAATAAAAATAAAATAAAATAAAATAAAATATTTTCCCATGTTAGCCAATACTTTAACTCTCTTAAAGGTCTCCTTTACATCCCAAATGAAACAAAAGACTCATTACCTGACAGACTGTACTTTTTGTACTTTAACTTTCTTGGAGTCATTTCCTTTTTCACAGTCTTCATTTTTCTTTTGCAAATTAACTAAAAAATAGAGTTACATTTTCTAATTAGCATTCACGTAAAAATAAATCAGGAAATTTACTGGAGTTCACTTTAAGCATCCACTACACACCAATGTGGATGCAGTTTTTATTTGTATGAAATACAGGGAATAGGCCCCAGCTAACCTTGGCCAGGCCCATGCTGGCTTTCTAAGGGCCATTCATATTTGACTGGAAACATCTGCAAGTGCACTTGACACTTACATGAGAAGTTAGTTAAATTAGAATAGTCATACCTTCTTTCACCTTTCCTGGCGATTTCTTGATGCTAAGGAAAAAAAACAAAACCACTGACTGCAATGGCAGTAAAGATTACTCAAAACATGTTATATTATTTCATTTGCCTTTACAAGTAAGACACCCCCTTTCATTACCAACACCCTCAATTTCTACTCAGGAGCTCTCATCAGTTTGGAAAGCAATAGTCACTCCCTAGTACACTGCCACCAACTCTCAAGCATTGGAAGATCTTCACAGTTAAAATCTGAGAGCCTATTAGCAGGCTTTCAAAGCAGCAAAATGCTGTGGGCAATGGAGTTCAAGTGAAACACTTGTTCAGAACAAGTTATAAAGTATTTGAAATATGAAGTGAATGGGAGTAGGTCTGCCTCATTTCATTTGGAGAAATCACAAAGGATTAATTTAATAGTTTAGGCACAGGAGACAGGGAACAGCCTCAAGGGGGCTGTGGCCCAATGGAGAGAGAAATGTAAATGGACAGAATACAATACAGAAGCATTTGCACAGGAGAAAGGCCACACAAAAGCGGAAGTGATGGGAGGTGGGGGGGGGCAAATGAGAAGGTAAAGGTGACACTTGAGCTTGGTTTTAAAAGATGAAAGGGAATTTGCCACCAAATAGATTTGCTCTTACGTTTAATGTATTCAGGATCTGAGTAACTCTTTGGTAAAGTTTTTTTACTGAAAACTTGAGAGTCACTGGCCTAAGCAAAAGGGGGCTGAATTTCTGAATTTAAAGCCTTAAGGGGAGAAAAAGAGGATAGAAAAAAAAAAATTTAGAAGGCTAAATTTAGTAGGGTTTGATCAATTCCCAAAGACGACTATAGCTTTTCGCTTTAAACCATAAAACACCAAAGATGCTAAATGAAGTGGGGAACAGGAAGGACAGGTTGGTGGCAGGTAAGGCAAGTATGGGACAAATCAAGTTTTCAGAGCCTGTGGATAAGTGCCTGCTACCCCACTAAATGATTCAAAACACTTTTTATTCACCACCACCCACTATGCCCTAGTACAATGACAGGCAGTCAACAAAATGTACTGAATGAACACAATGGGATCAGGAATTCAAAAGCTAGCTATGGGAATGAACAAAAATAAATGGTAAAATAAGAAGTAGAACGTTACCTCCGTCTTTCCCATCAAATTCATATACCAAGGTAGCTTTTGAATTTGGGTTCTACAATTCCTTCAGTTATATGGATTCAAATAAATGTACCAGTATATAATTCAAAGATGGGTGTATATAAGCAAGTAATATAAAAAGATCCATTACTTACTTAGTCTGTGAAGCTGTGGTTAACTTCTCCAAAATAGTGTCTGGAAGGAGTTTTCTTTTCTTTTGGAATGAAAACGTTTAAAATTAATAGAAAGTCATGTACATAGTATGTCCGGAGTTGCTTCTGAAGTTACCGCTTTTAAGAATGCCCTACATCTAGGCAAAGAAATGAATTAGGCTGGAAACTGCCCCCATACCTCTAAGCTATGGGAAGACCGGGTCCACAAAACTCCACATTCTCTGAAAGACTTGATGAAAACTAGAAAGGGTGCCCACGGTATTCTAACCCTCAGGTCACTGTTATAAATTGAAAGCAGTTAAGTAATGTCTGCCTGGAGCCAGCTCTCTGTGTCGAGTATCAGACAGCAAAGCAACCATACACTAAGTCTGTACAGCCCTTACAGTTTACAAATCACCTCATTTAATTCTCACAGCAACCTCTTATTTTCAGTTGGTGGACACTAAAGGAGACGAACTTTTTTTTTTTGAGACAGGGTCTCGCTCTGTCGCCCAGGCTGGAGCGCAGTGGTGTGATCTCGGCTCCAGGCAGCCTCGACATCCCGGGCTCCGCCCACCTCGTCCAACTAAAGTACTGCCGCGCCCGGCCCGAGCATCTTTCCACCACTGTCAGAGGCAATCTTGGTGACTGTTTCCCCACTCCAATATCCTGCCAACCCAAATTACATCCACCATAGGAATTCTCCCTGAGCCGAGTTGTTTTAATAAGACACCTCCTCCCTAGCCTCTAACCTTCTGTTCGATGAACAGCTCCTCGCGTCGCTTCCTCTTCTCCTTCAGGAGCGTTTTATCCCTGGGAGGAAGGGTGATAAGTCAGCAAAGGGAAGGACAAGCGGGACGAGAAAGGGCGGTTCTCCCCGCCGGGCAGCGGGCTCCGAACCTGCGCACGGTCTCCCGCACTCGCCGCTCCTCTTCTCTCGCTTCCGCCTGGGCGCTGGCGAAAGTCAGCTCCTCCGGGGCCTCATCGTCAAACTCATCGTCCCCTTCCTCGTCTTCCTCCAGGGGCTCGGCGGCCGCGCCGCTGCTGGGCTGCCCGAGCAACAGCCCGTGCTCCGCCTCCTCCTCCTCCGAGGCCAGCTGGCCCTCGTCCACCATCGCCTCCGCCGACGCCGGGGCGCGAGACGCTCGCGGTCGGAGCTGCACCATGGCCCACGCAGCGCTAGACCGTCTGACCTCTGACCCGGAAGCAGCTACAAGCGGAGCGCAAGCCTACTTTCATCGCCCCCTGCAGGTTCGGAGGTCCTCAGGACGGGTGGGGCGCATGCGCGAAGGGAGGAAGGGCGTGGCCTGTAGGCAGTGGGCGTGTTTCTTTCCACGTGGCCAGCGCAGGCCGCCTTGGAGCCGGATGGACCCCACGGAAAATGCTCTGCCGGCGAAAGCGGCTGGCAATGGGGTTGATTTCAAGGCAGGGAAGAGCCATCGCGCTGCCCTCCTCGGCTGGGATGGCGAGACAGGGCTGGCACGGCTCACGCTGTCCGGTGCTCAGAAAACCGGTAATCGCGGGCCCGAGGCGCTGCTCGCCGCCGTTTTTTGGCCCTGGGTTCCGTCGAGTGGATCCAGCTTGTCAGTCTTTGTGTAGATTTGGCTGCGTTCGCTCCGCACTTCGGAGGAGGTGGCGTTTCATGGGAAGAAATGCGCTCTAGCAGATGGCCGCCGTGGCCAGTCAGCCCTGCTGCCACCGACGAAGACGCGGGCGACAGACCTGGACTCTAAAGAAATCTGCACAGACGTGCCCGGCGCCCTCGGCCTTCCCAGCTCCGCGGCCGCAGCGACGCCGGTTAGGATGTCGGCCCTGTGGGAGGGGCGCCCTTCCTGGTGCCGGGCCCTAACCCACGACCTGGAACAGCAGCTGGCCCGTGGCAAATGCTGAGCATATCTCCTGAAAGAATGGCTTCGCCGGTCCCTAGAGAATGCACCCGAGTTTTGTGGTATATACACATACGTACTTTTTTTCCAAGTATATTTTATTTCTTGGCAAACATGGCCCTTTGTGATCGCTGTGTTTCTCTCCTCCCATCCATTATACAACACTAAGTGATTCATCATTCTTTGAACAAATCAAACTGTTTCACACCTGCCATGCATTTGTACCGACCGTGCTCTTCCCTCTACTGCCGCAGCCCCCCAGGTAGAAGTCCTTTTTATACTTCAAAAATTCCCACCCAGGCAAATTTCAAGCACCTTACCCCTACCCCATCCCACTCTGCCCATCTCTAATTGCGCTGGTCTGAACCCGCACAAATGTCTGTGTAGTTTCTGCACTTCATAACAGCTTATATGACAGTTGCTCCAGCCATTCTGTGAACCCCTGAGGGGAAGGGCCAGGTCTTGCTAGTCATTTTATTTCTAATGTCTATCATCTGGTAGATGTTTAATAAATGCTAAGTTGAATAATTCTATCTTACACATATATTGTATTTTTAATTCTCTTTTCATGTCTTCTGTTTTAGAAGCAATTCTCAATTTAAAAACGACAAAACCAAATAGGAACAAAAATGATAAAACTTGAAAACAACAACAACAAAAAAAGCTGCTGAACCAGAGGTTCAGTATGAGAGGAATTGCAAAGAACAGTTTTGAAATCTCTAGGCCTTAGTCAGATAGAAATTACAAATCAAAAATATAATCAGACTCCCTGAGACACTAACACTAGGAAAATGAATAAAGTTAACTTGGAGCAGCCCAAGAACAAACTTATAAGTGCATGATGGTATTTTATGTGCAAAACTGCTTTATAAGTACTATAAGACTATTACAGGTATTACCAGTGCCCTCAGTGTAAACTCCTTGGCCCACCCATGTAAAGTGTACATCGAGCCCTCAGGGTCCCTGACTGGTTCTCCAGCCGCCCCATAGGCTATGAGCATCCCCGTTCCCTACACAAAGGACCACTGGGATTTATTAAAGGTTATGCCTTGCAATGCAGTACAAAGTTTTATATGATAGTGTCTTGTTGCCTGTTTCTACAAAAGCCAAGGGTGTAACATTAAATGCAATTTTGCAAGGGGCTGAGGTGATGTGGTCCAAGTATGTAATCACTTCAGGGAGCCATATGTGACCTTCATACACTGTTGATAATGGCCATGCCTCCCAGTCAGGCCTGTGACACCTGCTGGACAGCAGGCATTCCAAGGCCCCTAAGCACTGAGTTAGCTGGTAAAGGTTAAGGAAAAAGCTGTATTCTTACTACTTTACTCCAAGGTAGTAAAGTGTATGGAAGATGTACCTGACAGAAATAACTTAAGCATCCCCTGAGAATGACCCTGTATGGCAGATGCATCTGACAGCAATAACTTAAGAAGTGAGGGTTGCCACGTGGAGGCTGCTGAGGGGAGGGTGCTGAGTGAAAGTGCTATGTAAACTGCATGCTTTTTATAAGTGGTTGCAGTTCTGTCCAGCCCGCGGCCACTGGACCACCCTGTAAGGTTCCCCAAATAAACCCTATGTTTCCTTCACTAGCTCCAGGTCTCTTCTTTGGCCTCTTGAACCTGGTGCCATCCCTACTGAAGTTAACAGAGGTCTGGCCCAACCTAAGGGCATCATTTTTTAAAGTCCCATGGAAAAAACTCCCAGCAGAGTTCAGCATCTGGGAACGGTTGGCAGGCCCCACAGGAACCACAGCTTCTGCCTTTATGATGCTGAGAAACACTTCACTGTTGACTTCCCCCATCTAAGGGGGCCAGAGCTAAATTTTGGGCAGCTGTGTTTATCCTGGGGGTCCACATATTTGCATCATTCTTTCTTCTCATCGTGATGTTCTACCTTGTTGGTACTGTTCTCTTCCTTCTTTGTGTGAGTTCCTGTTGTGAGCTTCCCCTTGTTCACTGAGGTAATGTAGCCAAACAAGGTTAAAAAGCCCCCAGTAAGCCGGGTGCGGTGGCTCATGCCCGTAATCTCAGCACTTTGGGAGGCCGAGGCGGGCAGATCACCTGAGGTCGAGAGTTTAAGACCAGCCTGACCAACATGGAGAAACCCCGTCTCTACTAAAAATACAAAATTAGCTGGGTGTGGTGGTACATACCTGTAATCCCAGCTACTCATGAGGCTGAGGCAGGAGAATCTCTTGAACCCGGGAGGCGGAGGTTGCTGTGAGCTGAGATCGCACCACTGCACTCCAGCCTGGGCAACAAGAGTGAAACTCTGTCTCAAAAAAAAAAAAAAAAAGTCCCTAATAAAGCCATATCGTGGGGTAATGTCTTTATACAATAAATTACCTACTGTAGAGTGTGATTTTATTTTCCACTAAAACTTGTGCAAAAATCAGAATAGTAGGGTTTTTACCCCTTGACTTCTACTTTGCCCAGATAACAAAAATATAATCAGAATAACTATTTTTTTTAGACAATCTAATTTACAAAATTTTTCCCTCCCAATAACCAACCATACACATCAAAGATACCTCACGTTTCAGTTCAAACCAAATAATATGAATTAACTTTCCAGTTCTGTGACTTTTGAATGTGGGTGCTCTTTGCTACTTCTAAACCCCCATCACTTATCAACAGGTTGGATTCCAGCGAGGGAATCAGAGGCTATTTTTAGATTGTTCAGTACTCAGCTCACCACCCATAAGACCATTTCTCCTCTGCGTGTGGCCTAGTTCTTAGATATACTGTAATTTCTTTCTTCCCCAGGACACTTAAGAAACAGTTTCATTTTCATGACAGGCAAGGGCTTCAGGAAGAGTCGTTCCACAGGGTCCCTGGAAATGAAACCTGAAAGAGAAGAAGCAAATACAGCAGTTTTGAACTACAGGTTAGCAAAATGAATGCCCTACTTCAGCAAGCACTTATTTCTGAAGTAATAGCCGAAGTAAAACCCAAATTCTCATAAAGATGGTATTATGAATTTCCATGCCCACTTCTTTCAACTAGCTTCTAACAACTCTAGTTATAACACTTCACTATGGGCTGGGCTCTGTGACTGGGGGAATTTTGAGAAGCAAATGTCTAGAATTTATGTGCCATAAAGAAGAATTTTATTTCAAAGTGTAAGAGACATGATTACAAAGTGTATTCTGTTTGTTTTTTTCAAATCCTGAGAACCTATGCAAGTAAAGTGTATTTTGGGACTGTACTGCCAAACTCATTGAAATTGTAAGTATAAAATATACATGTATGTGTGTTATATATGTATTTTATATACATATATATGTTTTATGTGTATCTATATAACACGTATGTTTGGCATGTTATATATAGACACAATACATACTTTTTTGTGTATATATGTGTGTGTATATATATGTGTGTGTGTATGTGTGTGTGTATATATATATATATATATATATATATATACACACACACACATAAAACATTACAGCAGCATTCACAGGTAGTACTGAGAACAAGAGAAAAAAATACCCATGCACTATCTGACCACTAGGATCTCAGCTAAGTCAACGAGCCTCTCAAACCACCTGTTGAACTTTCTGACTAGCTTCTGAGGTGTAGTTAGAAAAAAGAGAAAGAGGAAGGAGAAAAAAGAAGAAAAATCATGGACTTTTGTTTAAAAAAACTATGAATAAGAAGCAAAAGCAGGACTTCCTCATGCATTATTAAAAGAAAACCAGTTGAGCACAATTAAAAATAGAAAAGGCATTTCCTCAGTGCAACTCATTTATATTATTTATTCTTGATACAATACAAATAGTGACTGCCTTATCCCTCAAATGCTTTGTTCTATCAACAGAGTGCCACTTAATGGACAGCCCAGACTACACGGCATCTCCAGTCCGTCTGCCCCCTGCCACGTGCTGAGCACTGACTTCCAGAAAGTTCCAGGCCAGTATGTGGTTATCCAGGAATTACTGCCAGCCATGGGGAGCGTTTAGGGAATTCCCAGATCCTCAATTTCCACCTCTTCTCTTTCTTAAGTGATTTCAAGTGCCCCTTTCCACATTCAGCCTTCTTCCGCCTTACAAAAGCAAGCTGGACCCCTCACCCATCCCAAATTTTACAATGATACCTCATCCCCGAGTGTGAAATAGAGGGAGTGTGAAACATATGGAGTACCAAATAGAGGGACGTCTGGAATACTGGTGTAGATCTGACACCTTCATATGTAAGTAGGCTGGTTTCATTCTTGCTTTCAATAAAGTTGAAAGAGGGTCGGAAAGGATTTTCAGTGAATAGATCGCTAAGTATGATACAAAATTACTCTGTGTATTTTGGCATACAACTTGGAAGGTGGTCCAAAATTGGAGTGGCAAGGCTATACCAAAATTTCTTTCATGGCTGGGCATAGTGACTCATGCCTAGAATCCCAGCACTTTGGGAGGCTGAGGCAGGAGGATCGCTTGAGGCTAGGAGTTCAAGACCAGTCTGGGCAACATGGCAAGACCCCGTCTCTACAAAAAGGTAACAGTAAAAACAACCATGCGTGGTGACACGAGCTTGTAGTCCCAGCAACTCCGGAAGCTGAGGCGAGAGGATCACTTGAGCCAGGAGTTTGAAGCTGCAGTGAGTTATGATTATACCACTGTACAGACTCCAGCCTGGGTGACAGAGGGAGCTCCCTCTCTTAAAAAAAAATAATTCCCTCATGCCTAGAGTTTAGGTGGCCCAGGTCTTTCAGTACTTACATCTATAAAAAACAACACTGAAGATTACAATTGACATTGAAAAAGTAAAATTTAGCTTGGCAGGTCAAAATCTGCCCAGCGATTCTTTGGATCAGAATAAAAGACACGGGTAAAGCCAGCTGCCAAGTTAATAGGAAACAATATATTTTCCCCTAGGACAAGCTGCAAAATGTCTTAATTCCATTCTTTGAGTGACTACTGCTTTTGGATTTTGTTCCTTAATATTATAAACTATTGGAAACATTGCTATTTGAAATTATAGCAGTAAAGAATGAAATATTCCTCTAGCCTTGAGGATCTAAGTCACTTTGATACTGAGAAGCAGCCTGGATTTCCAACCCAGGTGCAGAGCTTCAGATAAGGGATTTCTGGACACAACATTCCACGTTGATCTAAACTTGGTATTATAGTTTCTGGGGAAGTGGGACCCTGGCCTACTTTGCCAGCCAGACATGATGTTGACCCCTTTACATTGTACAGCCCTGCTAGTTGCTTGAGTCTATCAAAAACTACTTCATTCAAATTTCACTTAAACTTCACCCTCCCCCCAATTGCTTTAATAACTCCACCTTTCCCTTATTGGGAAACACTTCTCAGTTCTACGGGGGTCCGGTCTCCCTCATTGCATTAAATCAATAAACCTGATCTTGACAGAATACCGGTTTGTTTATGGTGACTACAGGAGGATTGGGTTAGAACAGGAGGAACTGTCTCCTTCCAACAATAGGTAACACTCAGCCATAGAAACATGGACCAATTAAAAGTTTATGCCCCATTCATCTATTAAGGATATATTTCCAGGCCAGGAGCAGTGGCTCACGCCTGTAATTCCAGCACTTTGGGAGACCGAGGTGGGCAAATCACTTGAGGTCAGGAGTTTGAGACCAGCCTGGCCAACATGGTGAAACCCTGTCTCTACTAAAAATACAAAAATTAGCTGGTCGTGGTGGCAGGCACCTGTGATCCCAACTACTCAGGAGGCTGAGGCAGAAGAATCGCTTGAATCCGGGAGGCAGAGGTTGCAGTGAGCTGAGACTGCACCCTGCACTCCAGCCTGAGCAACAAGAGCAAAACTCCATCTCAAAGAAAAAAAAAAAAAATCCAATAAAATTTTACTTGTTTGGAATTATTAATCTACATTTATATGTATTTTTTGTTTTTACAATTATGCACTGCAGATTAGTGATAATTCTATCTAGAAGATGTTTTAGTAAAGCATTTTTTAACATTTTAAGGAAATTGAAAAAATTAAATAATTCATATGATATTTTGCTGTAGAAGTATAATAGGTAGTCAGTAAAAGATTTTCTTTCTCTCTCTCTTTTTTTTTTTTTTTAAGACAGAGTCTCACTGTGTCACCCAGGCCGGAGTGCAGTGGCACGATCTTGGCTCACTGCAACTTCTGCCTCCCAGGCTCAAGGGATTCTCCCACCTCAGCCTCCCAAGTAGCCGGGATTACAGGTGTGGACCACCACGCCTGGCTAGTTTTTGTATTTTTAGTAGAGATGGGGTTTCGCCATGTTGGCCAGGCTGGTCCTGAACTCCTGGCCTCAAGTGATCCTCCAGCCTCAGCCTCCCAAAGTGCTGGGATTACAGGCATAAGCCATTGTACCTGGCCAGTAAAAGATTTTCATGCATAAAAATATATTACATTAGTATAAATTCTGTAGTAGTGATAGAATGGAAATACAAGTTCAAAGAGAAAAGAAAAAATGCAAAGTTTCCAATTGTTAAGGAAGGGCTTGTATATTTATTTTGTAAATGGATGGTGGTATGTACCAGATAGTTATAACATTCAGATTGGACTGGATACATTTTAAACAATGATATGGTAGTTTTTATTTTAAAATGTCAGTGTTTCAGCCAGGCACAGTGGCTCACACCTGTAATCCCAGCACTTTTAGGAGCTTGAGCTAGGCAGATTGCCTGATGTCAGTAGTTTGAGACCAGCCTGGGCAATGTGGTGAAAACCCGTCTCTACTAAAAAAAAAATACAAAAAATTAGCTGGGTGTGGTGGCGCACGCCTGTAGTCCTAGCTGCTTGGGAGGCTGAGGCAGGAGAATTGCTTGAACCAGGGAGGCGGAGGTTGCAGTGAGTCGAGATCGTGCCACTGCAGTCCAGCCTGGGCAACAGAGCCAGACTCTGTCTCAAACATCAATAAATAAATAAAATGGCAGTGTTTCCAATGCACTTGGAATCACATCTCCAACTATATTTGATTTAAAAAACCTTAGATGTCAACTTTTAAAATGGGAAAGGCAAACATGAACAGTGTTTGAAAGCCTCTTTCTAGCACACCTGTGCACTCTGCTGGCCCCCACCAGTTGTAGGACAACCACGACTACAGTGTTAGCTGCACATCTGCTCACGCCACTTGCATTGGTTAATGTAATCATCCTGCTGCATTTAAAATTACGTAATAAACTGCAAAAATAGAGCTGTTAAGAGAGTTATTTCTAGGAAAACTAGTTGAATGCTTGGGAAAGACATACTGAGTCACTAAATATAATTTGGTTAAATTAGGTGTAGGTGTAAAAGATGGGGGAAGACTGCTTCACATGTTTCTTTTCCTAAGTTCTTGCTCTCCTTTAAAAGAAAAAAAAAAAACAGACAAATATCAAAAACCAGAAGTTGTAATCCAGTGTTTGCCAAGGTTTCTTGGTAAGAATTACCTGGGTCATTTGCTAACTACACAGATAAACAGGCATCTTCCCCCTAGAAATTCTGATTCAGGAAGTCTAGGTGGGGGCCTTGGGATCTGATTTTCCTGGTTGTCTGTTTTGTTTTATAAAATAAGGGCTGGAGTCATTCGTATCTTCAGGGGTATTTGGGGAACACGAGGAAGATTATGGATACGACAAGAAAGGTGAGCTCCAATCAGCAGATCCCTACTCAAACAAAAGGCCTTTAGCTCTATTCCAAAAAAAAAAAAAAAAGCAGGCCAAGTGTGTTGGCTCACGCCTGTAATCCCAGCACTTCGGGAGGCTAAGGCAGGTGGATCTCTTGAGGCCAGGAGTTTGAGACCTGTCTGACCAACATGGTGAAATCCCGTCTCTACTAAAAATACAAAAATTAGCCAGGTGTGGTGGTGCACGCCTGTAATCCCAGCTACTCGGGAGGCTTAGGTGGGAGGACTGCTTGAGCCCGGGAGGCAAAGTTTCCAGTAAACCAAGATTGCGCCACTGCACTCCAGCCTGGGCAACAGAGCAAGACTCTGTCTTAAAACAAAACAAAACAAAAAACAAACAAAAAGCAAATGAAGGTAGATTTATGCTTTATATCAAAATGTTTAAAGTATGTATGTGTCCTTTTCTATTAGTCTTGTTTTCAGTGGCTTTTTGAATGAACAGACCAACTAAGCCCTGACTGCATGGACTAGGAGGGCTTCCCTACCCGCCCTTGACAGCACAGCCAGGGAGAGCGCTGGACTTCCCTAACACACACGGTCAACTATCGCTTCAAAGCAGTGACCTCTTCACACCCTAGATAGGTAACTATATAACCACAACAATCTATAAAACTCTTCTACCTAACAATTCCTTAGACTTCTAAACTCCAACAGCAGGTAGCTTGGGTGTCTTCCCTCCCCAGAGCCCCCAACTCCATTACTTTACTGCTCGCCTCTCCTGGGACTTCCTCACTCCACTCCAGCCACACTGAGGGGCCTCTGCTCCAGGTGGTCCCAGTGTCTGAAAAGCTCTTATCCCAGATTATGTCTTCGGCTGCCTCCTTCACCTCCTTCAAGTCTTTGCTCCAATCTCTTCTTAATGAGGTTTGTGCATCTTTACTTTGTGCAGTCTCTTAGCACCTGCTCACGTGCTGTAGAATGTGTACCTTATGTTCACTGCTTACCTGTCTGCCTCAACCACTAGAATATAATCTTTCCTTGGTAGATATTTGTTTTGTTTACTGATATATCCTATCTTAAGCACTTAGAAAAGTGTCTGATACATAGTGGATACTTACAAATATTTGTGGACTTTAATTAAATTCCAACATTTAGAGAAATTTAAAGATCAACAGGGCACAACATAGTGGCTGCAGGGCACAGTGGGCCAAAGGTGCTTTGAAGGCCCTGGCCACCAGCTCCCTGCAGCGACAGTCCCATTTTTGCCTCAGCGAATGTACAAATCCTACAAGCCAAGGCCCCCTGGGGTTGAGTAACAGTCAAAACACTGAGGTTTAAATTCAAAAATGCCTAGGGTTTATTGGAATAGTCAGGGTTTATCAGAAATCATCCAATATAAGCATCGGACATGGGGAAAACGACAAAACCAAAACTGGAACTAATTAACACCTTGAAAATAGAAATACATTCCTGTGGGAGGAGAATTCTATGCCTTTGTCACTAGATTAGAACTGGGGCAAAGAATCTGAACAACTTGTGTAAGGCCTAAGGTGTCTTGTGAGATCCAAATCCTTATTAAAATATAGGCAGCATTCTAGCTGCCTATTTAGGTAACAAAGAAAATCAGGTTAAAAGTAGCAGAGAACATTATTCCATTTTTTTTTTCTCCGTAACCTAGAGCAGGGGTTAGAAAACTTTTTCTGTAAAGGGCCACACAGGACATATTTTAGGCTTTGCAGACCAGCCAGTCTCTGTTGCAACTATTCACCTCTGTCATCCTAATGCAAAAGCAGCCACACACAATATACAAACATATGGCCACAGCTGTGTTCCAATGAAACCTTATTTACAGATACAGGTGGTGGGCAAATTTGGCCCACAGGCAGTAGTTTGCTGACCCCTGACCTAGGGTAAAGTTCAACCAAAATCTGTTAAGCACGAGATATACAATTCTGCCATTGTTAAGCTCTGTGTTTAAACAGTCCTCTCAATTGCTCCAGGGTTGGTTTCTGCCTTTGAAAAATTGAGTAGGATGAGATGACTATCACCAGCATCTCTTCTAAATGTCAGCTTTGATGATGCCAAGAAAAAAGCATTGCTGGCTTCATTGATCAGTTACTCCTTCATTGATGAGATGACAGTTCTTGTGGTCAGTCTGGTTGATAAGTAGCTTGCCAAATTGATAAGAATTTCTAACTAGCAAGTAGCCTGTTTGTTAGAGACAATCATAGGTTTTCAAGACAATATGAAGCTGAAGAATTTTGGCTGAAGTAGCAGCTGAAACAGGTCTGTGGTTTTAGGAGGCTTGACTTGAGCAGTGATATATATTACATGCCAAGAATCTCTCCTGAACTGGCAGGAAAAACCACCAAGTTCAGTTTCTTTCACATGAAGACACAGCCACCATATCCAAGGGATGCTGGGCCCCTGCTGCTCAGTCCATGGCATGGGAGGTGGGGGCCAACTCTAAACTTGGGTTGTGGAAATACTCCAGTTTTATTTTCTTCTTTTTCTCTATCTGCATTTTCTTGCTTTTCTACAATGATGACTTGTTTTAATTCTTTATAATAATTAGAGATGAGATGGAGATCAAATGACTGAAAAGAAACCACATTAGAAGAACCAAACTGGGGACATAGCTCAGGTCCTGCTTCACAAAGTTTATCCTGTCCCACTCTTCGAGTTTTCTGATGGTCTTTCAAACAGACAGGAGGCTTGAGCTGCCTAGCTCCGGTATTACTACGCTTAGTCATGCTAAGTGGCCCAGCTGCTCCACATAGGTGCCACAACACAAATCAGACGGAGGCTCAATGTGCATTTTTCAGGAGATAAGTTAGAAGATCATTTAACTTTTTATCTAACAGCTTTATTGAGATTTGATTCACATACAATCCACCTATTTCAAATATATAATTCAGTGGCTTTTAGTGTATTCACAGAATTATACAACCATCACCACAATCAACTTTAGAGCATTTTTAACAACCTCAAAGAAACTTGTTCTCATTAGCACCCACTCCCAATTCCTCCCTACTCCCAGCCAAAACAACCACTCATCTACCTTCTCTCTATTGATCTGCCTATTCTAGATATTTCGTATAAATGAAGTCATACCATATATGGTCTTTTATGACTGGCTTCTTTCACTTAGCATAACGTTTTCAAGGGTCATCCATGTAGTAGCATGTATGGATATCTCGTTCTTTTTATGGCTAAAATATAGTCCATTGTACAAACATACCAAATTTTATTTATTCATCCTTCAGTCGATGGACGTTTGGGTTGTTTCTACTTTTTCCATTAACAAGTTGCTATGAACATTTGTGTACAGATTTTTGTGTAGATGTATGATTTCATTTCTAGGACTATATACCAAGGAGTAGAATTGCTAGATCATATAGTAACCCTATATTTAAATGCCACATTGTTTTCTAAAATGACTGCGCCATTGTACATTCTCATCAGCCATGTATGAGGGTTCCAATTTCCTCACCAACACTTGTGATTTTCCTTTATCTTAAAAATTATAGCCACGCTTGTGGCTGTGAAGTGGTATCTCACTGTGGTTTTGCTACTGAACATCATTTCAATATGCTTATTGGCCATGTGTATATATTTGGAGAAATGTCTTTTCAAATATTTTGACCTGGTTTTTAATTGGATTGTCTTTTTATTATTTATAGTTGTAAGAGTTCTTTATATATCCTGGATACAAATCCCTTATCAAATATCAAATATTAGACTTACAAATATTTTCTCCGATTCTATGGGTTGTCTTTTTTTTTTTTTTTTTTTTGAGACGGAGTCTGGCTCTGTCGCCCAGGCTGGAGTGCAGTGGCGCGATCTCGGCTCACTGCAAGCTCCACCTCCCGGGTTCACGCCATTCTCCAGCCTCAGCCTCCCGAGTAGCTGGGACTACAGACGCCCACCACCACGCCCGGCTAATTTTTTGTATTTTTAGTAGAGACGGGGTTTCACCGTGTTAACCAGGATGGTCTCGATCTCCTGACCTCATGATCCACCTGCCTCGGCCTCCCAAAGTGCTGGGATTACAGGCGTGAGCCACCGCACCCGGCCTGTGGGTTGTCTTTTTACTTAATCGATGGTACCCATTGGAATACAGAAGTTTTAAATTTTGATAAAGTCCAATTTATCCATTTTTCTTATGTTACTTGCTCTTTTGGTGTCATATCTAAGAAAGCTTTAACCCAAGGTTACAAAGATTTACTCCTACATTTTCTTTTGACATTTTATACTTTTAGCTCTTACATTTAGGTCTATGATCCATTTTGGGTTATTTTTTGTAATGGTGTGACAGAGGGGTCCAAGCTTATTCTTTTGCATGTGGGTATCCAGCACTATTTCTTGAAAAAGACTGTATTTCATCAAATTGTCTTGCCACTCTTTTCAAAAATCAGTTGACCATGAATGTGAGGTTTGTTTTATTGTTCTGTTTTGTTTTGTTTTTTACTGGACTCTCAATTCTACTCCACTGATTCTATATATCTATCCTATGCCAGTGCCACACTGTCTTGATTACTGCAACTTTGTAGTAAGTTTTTTTTTTTTTTTGAGACGGAGTTTTACTCTTGTTGCCCAGGCTGGAGTGCAATGGCACAATCTCGGCTCACTGCAACCTCCCCCTCCCAGGTTCAAGCGATTCTCCTGCCTCAGCCTCCCAAGTAGCTGGGATTACAGGCATGTGCCATCATGCCTAGTTAATACATAGTAAGTTTTGAAATTGGGAAGTATGAGTTCTCCAACTTCATTTTTCATTTTGTTTTGGCTATTTTGGGTCCCTTGCATTTTCATATGAATTTTAGATTAATCTTTTCAATTAATTGCTGTCAAAAGCCAGTTGTGATTTTGATAGGGACTGAGTTGATTGAGCCCATAGATCAATTTGGGGAGCATTGCCATCTTAATCATATTAAGTTGTCCAATCCATGAACACTGGATATGTTTCCATTCATTTAGGCCTTCCTTATTTCTTTCAATAATGTTCTGTAGTTTTCAGAGTATAAGTTTTGCATAGGAGGCAATTTTTTTTTAAGGCTATCTTCTTAGTTCCTACTACTCACACACAGATGAAGAACTATGGATCAAGAACACAGGCTGTAGCTGATCAAAAAGACACATGGAAAAGAAGAGGCTCAGAGCCAGTTCACTCACTTGAGGAGGGGCCTACTGAAGTGTCTGTGGCCCCTTTTCTTTCTTTTTTCTTTTTTTTTTTTAAATCCCAGCAAAGACTTAGAAGAGTGGTTCCTATCCTGGCTGCACACAGGAATCACCTAGGAAGCTTATCAAAATGATGATGTCTGGGCTGCAACTCAGAGCAATGACATCGAAATTTCATGAGGTGGCACCCAGGCATCAGTATTTTTAAAATATGCAGCCAAGGTTGGAAACTGTTGATTAAAGTAATGACAAGATGGTTCAATGAAGTTTTCTATTTTATTCATTTATATTAATTTACTACTTATTTATATTCTAACTTATTCAAAAGGAATTAACTAGATGGACAAGAATTAGAGGTAAAAGCAAAAAAAAGTTGGGGTGAGAAAAAAGACAGAACATGGATGAAGAAATAAAACAGACCCAGGAATAAGACTAAAAATGCATACTATGACAATCTACACTTCCCACCCAAACTTGGGAAGCAGGATCAGTGTCATAATATGGCCACAGATACAAATAACCTTGGCGATTAGACCAAAGGGGTATCTGCCAGGTGGCCTCCCAGTAAGAACGGCAGGTGATGAGGTTCTGCAAGGGCATCTCCCAGGCTTACTTGCGGAGCATTTGGGTAACCTACAACTACAGGTCATCACTAAGTCTAGCTTAAAAATGTAAGGGAAAGCAAAGCCTAAGGAATCCAAGAAGAGCGTTCAAAATGTGAACAAACAAAAGTCCCACGGCAAATTTCGCATACAATGACAGAGCTACCCTACCTTAGTCTACAGTGAATGATTTTGTTCTTCCATAAAAGCAACTGCAGATCAAACAAAAAAACACAAACCCTATGTCTTTTTTAAAAATTAGAGGAGTAGGTCAACTATGTTTAGATGACCATGTCTGTACCTGCCTCCCACATCTCCCTCTCCCATCAGGGTATCCCAGTACCTGAATCTGTTCGTAGCTGGGGTGGTCTCCGTGTTAAATTCAGCCACTGGCACGCCCCTGGCAGCCACCTGGGGGGCAAACATGGCTGCTGGGTACACCACAGAGGAAGTGCCCACCTACAAGGCAAGTACACGGAGATGAACAAACAGCCAGACGACAAGGAGAAGGAACATTATTTCAGAAAACCTTACACAAACTCAGGCAGGTCTGTGGTTGCAGGTGTGAGAAAAGCCAAACAGGATGGGATAAAACAGGGTGTCCAAGGGACAAGGGAAAGTGAAGAGGTGTCCTTTGATCAATCACTAGAATCGAGAAGAATATGTGACATGAAAAGGAGAGTTATGCAAAGAGTGACATAGAAGTGACTCAATCAACATGTTTTGGGGTTAATTCTGGTTTTGTTTCTGCTTTTTAAAGTTAAACAAATGATCCATAACTTTTTAAAACATATTTTCTATCTTTTTGTTTAAGGTAGAAAATACGAAGAAAAAAACATACATATCATCCATAATCTTACCGCAAGATAACCACTGTTAACATTTTCATGTATGTCCTCTTAGGTTTTCTCTTATAAATATTTGCTTATAAACATTCTTTACAGGGATGGGAAGAGCATGACCTGTTTTGTAAACCGGCTTTTCTCATTTAACAATCCATCATCAACAGTGGCACTATACTCAACACTGGGAAGCATTCTTTAAATACTGGCTGAATGAATACGCACCACAAGAAAGTGCCTCTGCTTTTAAAGACGTGTCAAGAAAAATTTGAAATACGCATACAATCTGTCCAATGAATCCCACTTTTAGGAAATGTGTCCTAAGGAAATCATTTGAAGAGCATGCTAAGATTTCTATCTAAGGATATTCACGATATCATTGATTAAACTATCAAAATTTGAAATAGCCCAAATGTCTTACAGTAGAGAATTAGCTAAATATATCATTCCTTATCCATATATAACACCATACAGTCAATTGAAAGATGATATTGATTTAGACATATTGATATGGAACATGCTAAGTGAACTGCTGCGTGAACAAAGTAGTTTCAAAACAGAACATATGTCATGAACTCAGTTTTGAATTTTAATTAATACGTGTACATCTGCATAAGAAAAGGTTTAGACCAGAGGTGGGCAAACTTATTCTGAAAATGACCATACAGTAAATTTTTCAGGCTTTGCAGGCCATTCAATCTCTGTCACAAGTACTCAACTCTGCCACTTGTAGTTTGAAAGTAGTCATAGACAGTGTGTGGAAGAATGAGTGTGGCTGAGTTCCAATAAAACTTTATTTCCAAAAACAGGTAGCAGGCCCAATGTGGCCCAAAGGCTGCTGTTTGCTCACTCCTGGGTCTAGAAGAAAACATACTAAACTGCTAACGGTAACTATTTCTGGATAGCAGAACTATGGGCGATTTCTAATTTCCTCTTTATAATGTGATAATTTTTGCATGTTCTCAATTAAATTTAATCATAAGCATGTATTATTTAAAAAACCAATAGCATGTTCTTTTCTTTGTTTTTGGTGGGGCTGGGGGAGGAGGCTTTGAGATGCCCAAGACATGCATGGTTTCCTATTTTAATACAAATTCTTATTCATTGTTTCTCAGTTTTTCTATAGGATACCACAAAGACCTCTCAACATACATTTGAAGGAAAGGAAGAAATGGAGGGAGGAGAGAAGGCGGGAAGGAAAGAAGCAAGGGAGGGAGGAAGGAAAAGAGGAGAGGGGGAAGGAAAAAATAACAAACTCCAGTCCTGTCCTGGGGTTAGGGAAGGGCATGACCCACCACTAGACATAAATCACAGTGGGCGAGCTCTCTGTCAACCTCCTCCAGAATGGCAGGATCCAGGTTTTCTCCAAACCACACGACGTGAGGTCGCAGCAAGCCCCCGCAGCCTGCCTCTTCACACCTGGAAGAATGGGATCCTTAAGCCAACCCCGAGCCAAGTCTGCCCAGCTGGATCGGAGGGAGGCCAGGGGCTGCCCCAAACCTAGTACATCCAGATGGGTCACCTCTGATGCCTCTTATTCCCTACACCCTCCCTCCCAGCCTATATAAACTTGCCTTGCTTATGAAGCATCAGGTTTAATGGTCTTTTTTTTTTTTTTTTTTTTTGAGACGGAGTCTCACTCTGCTGCCCAGGCGGAAGTGCAATGCCATGGTCTCCGCTCACTGCAACCTCTGCCTCCCAGGTTCAAGCAATTCTGCCTCAGCCTCCCGAGCAGCTGGGACTACAGTCATGTGTGACCACACCCAGCTAATTTTCGTATTCTTAGTAGAGACATGTTTCACCACATTCGCCGGGCTGGTCTCAAACTGCTGACCTCAGGTGATCTGCCCTCCTCGGCCTCCCAAAGTGCTGGGATTACAGGCATGAGCCACCGCGCCCTGCAGAACTGTCCTTATTTTTTATCTTGTCTGTATGTACTTGATGTGCTGACACATTGTTTCAGCTAAGCTTTCCCAGTTCATTCATTATGCTCACATTTGTGCTCACAGCCACCCAGACCTGGGAGACATACTGGACTCAGATTTGCCTCCCACCCCAAGCATCCCCTAATTTCATCAATGACCTCCTTTCATGTTCTCTCAGGTTCATGTCTCTCTGGCCCAGTATGTAGCCAGCTTTCCTGTGTCCATTACTAAAAATCTCTCTTCTTTCACTCCCTCCTACCTCAGGGTTACCTTCTATACACCTCCTAAAACCATCCCCCAAACACCATTTTCATCATAGTAATCTCCTGCATCACAGGAATCCTCCAGGTCTACCTATTCCTTCAGAAGAAAACTTTTAATATTTAGCAATTAAAACCCTCATGAGGAAAATTTAAAAGGTTCTGTGGTTAAATAAGCCAGTAAAGCATTAACATACGTATTACAACCACTTTTTAGAAGGCAGCAATGTGGATTAAATGCTCTAAAAAGTCCTGCAGTAAAGCAAACATATTTTAACTTTGTTTAGTCTAACATTTCCATATTTATTTGAGTGCCTAACATGTTTTTTTCAAGTAATGTCTCAACGTAACATTAAATTAATGTTCTATGAAACACTTTTAGAAGTGCTGTTTTATTTTACCTTAAAAACACTCTAATCCAGCCGGGTGCAGTGGTTCACGCCTGTAATCCCAGCATGTTGGGAGGCTGAGGCGGGTGGATCATCTGAGGTCAAGAGCTCGAGACCAGCCTGGCCAACATGGCGAAACCTCATCCCTGCTAAAAACACAAAAAATAGCCAGGCGTGGTGGCGGGCGCCTATAATCCCAGCTACTCGGGAGGCTGAGGCAGAAGAATCACTTCAACCCAGGAGGTGGAGGTTGCAGTGAGCCAAGATCGTACCATTGCACTCCAGCCTGGGTGACAGAGTGAGATTCCATCTCAAAAAAAAATAAAATAAAATAAACACAACAAAAAAACTTCTAATCCAATTACAGGTTATAGAAGTGCTGTTTTAATGCCTGGTTTTGAAAAATTGGCATAAAAATCTTCCTTTTTTTTTTTTTTTTTTTTAATCTATGAACATTCTGTTTGGTCCTGTAACCTCTCCTATTCAGGTCCTTTCATTGCCTCCCTAACCCTGGATTAATAATGCCAGTGATGTTATTTGACCAGTTACAGGTCAGCCCCTATGCTTTCTGTACACTGGGTAACCACCTGTCGCACGACAGCTTCAGAAACTTTCCCGACCTCAAATGATCCTACCACAACACAAAGCAAAAAGAGGTTGGAAAAAAATCATTCTTTTCATCCTAATTTGGTTCATCCTTTGTCCTTTCACTTTTGGTCTCAGAGATCAAGCCTGGTTTTTACATTTGTGCATTTGATTTAAGAGGCGTCTTGCCAAATACATGTTTAGGTTTTGATGTCTGTTTTTTTTTTTGTTTTGGTAACCTGGAACACCAGTACAAATCAGAGTTTTCTACCTACCGGGGAAGTTTCTCAACTGGGATGCTGGCATCTTGAGTTCCAGGTTCTGGAGCACTGAAGTAAATAATATTAGAAAAGAAAGATTGTTATTGGCATAATAAAAAATAAAGAAACAACATAACTCAGTTTGTATATTTGCCTGGCAGTATGTGGTATAAAACTCCTAATTAATACATGCTCACTTGGAAGGGCATTAGAAGGAAGGACCCCAAGCCATTAATTACCAGTGGTGCTGGGCACAGTGGCTCATGCCTGTAATCCCAGCATTTGGTGAGGCCAAAGTGGGAGGACTGCTTGAGGCCAGAAGTTCAAGACAACCCTCGGCAATACAGTAAGACTGCATTTCTACCAGAAATACAAAAATTAGCTGAGTGTGGTGATGTGTGCCTATAGTCCTAGCTACTTGGGAGGCTGAGGCAGGAGGATTGCTCGAGCCCAGGAGTTGGAGGCTGCAGTAAGGTGTGATTGTGCCACTGTACTCCAGCCTGGGAAACAGAGCAAGAACCTGTCTCAGAAAAAAAAAAATCACCAGTGGTTGTACTGCCAGTGAGGGAATGCATGTGTGGGGAGGGCTGGAGTGGCTGGGTGTGCCAAGGGGGAACTTCATGTTTACCTTTATACATCATCATCATCATCATTTGTATCCTCTGCAATGACATTATATAGTCCTTATACAATTTATACTGTTTTTAAAAGGCTGAGTGGAATTTTTCTCAATATTGTGTCTACCCTCAAATTTTTTCCTCATTGTAATAATAGTACATGTTCATAATAGAAATATAGGAAAATTCAGAAAGATATAAAGAAGAAATTAAAAATTACCCATAATCCCTCCACTCCTGATATTCCTTATTAACATTTTGTTGTATTTTCTTCTGGTCTTTTAACTATATACAGATACACGAACTCATTGTGTGTACAAATTTAGGACCCTGTGGTTTTCACTTAACACTGTAAGTTGTGAGCAAAATATTTCTTTTATCACATGGCTATATTTAGTTTTTTTGTTTGTTTGTTTGTTTTTTGAGACAGGGTCTCCCTCTGTCACCCAGGCTGTAGTGCAGTGGCATGATCTCAGCTCACTGCAGCCTTGACTTCCCAGGCTCAAATAACCCTCCCACCTCAGCCTCCCTAGTAGCTGGGACTACAGGCATGTGCCACCACACCCAGCTAATTTTTGTGGTTTTTTGTTTTGTTTTGTTTTTTTGTAGGACAGGTTTCTCACTGTGTTGCCCAGGCTGGTCTTGAACTCCTGAACTCAAGCAGTCTCCCCACCTTGTAACCCCAAAGTGCTGGGATTACAGGCATGAGCCACTGCACCCAGCCTTGTATTTAGTCTTATTTCTCATAAATATCCATGGGAATCTTTGATGAATGTTCAATTTCCTCACATTTATGTTCAACCTAAAGGAGAAAACAACCTATACTTATTCTGTAGTGTGGTATAATTACCCTTTTCCTGATAAAGCTGGACAAATTGGACTCTTGTAATTCTCAGCCACAACTCCACAAGAGGTACATCGAGTTTTAAATAAGCTACCTGAAAAATACATATGAAGCAAATCCAGAATTTAGTATAATCAAGAGCAACCTTCTCCATGTCTAAAAGGGTATAAGATACTTTATTTTTCACACTTCATTTCATGTTTTGGTCTCACCCAGTTACCCAGGCTGGAGTGTAGCAGTACGATCATAGCTCACTGCAGCTTCCAACTCATGGGCTCAAGCGATCCTCCCACCTTTGCCTCCTGAGCAGCTGGGACTATAGGTGTGCACCGCCACACTGAGCCATACTTCATTTTAGCAAATGGGCCTACCCTAGCTTTAGCTTTCATGGGAAACAGAGGCATGCAGTACTCTTAAGCCAGTCAAGAGCATATGCCCTCAAGGACTTTATAATCTGGAGGAAAAATAAATAACTCCATGACTAATGTGCCATCAGATGACCTTGGAGTGGTGTTCAAGTGGGCAGAAGTTGCCAATAGGGTAGAGGGAGCTCAACCTAAATCTAAGGGCGTGATTTATTGACATGACTGACAAAGGTTCAATGGCGTGGGATATGTTTACAAAATTTTAACTTCGATTTCAGAAAGCTTGAATCTTTTATACAAAAGCACCTCAATAAATAAGTAATCAACTAATAAGTGAAAAAAGTAATTGTTAATACTAACCACCACTTATTGAGCTGAAGCAATCATGGTGGCCACAGTTTATGAAATGGGTACCAGGCAACTGGTGCCGTGCAGAGCACTTTCAACCCTAGTGGACATGCGCTGCTCCGTCCTGCCCACCAGTCCTTCCTTGGGGAGCACCATCCCTGCTCTCTCGCATGCTGAGCCAATAGGGCTGTGGGTCACATCCCAAATACAAGCTCAGCCACATGCTGCGCACGGCCCCCATGTGGTGTCCATCCCTCTGCAGTCGTGTTTGGTCAGAAGGGTGGGCGTGTGGACCAAGCAAGCCTACCCAGAGGTTTATTTTCTGAGCAGGTGGCTGAGCTGGAGCCGTCGGAGGCACTCTCCCTTGGCGCGTGGAGACAGATCAATTGCAGAGAGAGAAGGGAGGCCACCTCAAAGAGTGAGCAAAGCTGAAAGAAGGAGGGGGACAGGGGCCGGGAGGAAAGATGACATAAGCTGCACCACTAGGCTCCTCAGTTTTGTGAGCCAATAAACCTACTTTGTCAGTTTTAGCATAGACATTTTTCCCCATTTTCACATCTCTGAAATTCAGATGTGTCCTACAATTGCTACTGGCCAGATGAGACTGTAACATCATCATCATGCTTGCACAGACTTGTTGAAGGAGAACACTGAAAAATGGGGTGACTTTGTTGTTATTCTCCGTGGCCTGACCGGGCAGATTCAGCCCCTGGATCCTTCCGCCAACAAACCCTTCAAGGGCCACTTCAGGAAGGAAAGCAAGTTTTGGCTGTTGTCTACAGCCTTTCCACTGATGCCTTTTGGTAAGAACATGTCAGGCCCAATAGCGAACTTGCGGAAGGTGTGTCAGGAGCTTGGATGAGAATCCCAGCTATAACAGAGGGGCATTCTCTCAGGAAACGCTGCATCATCCATCTCCCGAGACACAGAGCATGAAACTGCATGGAAAACACAGACATCCGTGCTCTGAGTCACTCAGAATCATTTAGAAGAGCTAGATAATGAGAAATATTTGGACCAGTTTATCATACTCATACTTTATGTATGCCTGGAAAGATATAATTTCTAAAGAACGTGTCTAAGTTTTAACAAGCTCTTTCTCTAAGTATAGAATAATTCTAAGGGATAATAAAATAGTATATCATGGTTTAGGCAGATTATATTCTAAATGCCACATTAAAAACATGATGCATCTTAAAAAAAACCCTTCATCAGACTGAAGATGCCATTGATTTTTTTTAACCTAAGTTAGAAGAGAGTTCTCATCGTTTGAAATTTTAAAAAGTCCTGACTAACACACATATATGATCTTATTTAATCCCGACAACAATTCTATAAGATAGGCATTGTCATCTCGGTTTTATGCTGATGACATAGCCCACATTCTGACACTGCAGGGAAATCAGCAGAGGCACATGGAAAGTGGCTCAGACCCAGCAGATGTAGGTACCAAAAAGATGCTCGGTTAATAGGTGGCTGGCTGTTCCTGATGAACAAAAGACAGACACAGTCGAAATGAGTAGTGCCTCGCTTTCCTTATCAGGGTGATCTAAGTAAAAGCAGGCAGCTTCACCACACACACGCAAAAACAAACACCCCCGACTGGTGCACTGCTTCTGGAAATGCTACACTTAGAAATGCATTTTTGGCTGGCACAGTGGCTCAAGCCTGTAATCCCAAAACTTTAGGAGGCTGAGGAGGGAGGACTGCTTGAGGCCAAGAGTTTGAGACCAGCCTGGACAACATGGTGAGACACTCTCCACAAAAATTTTAAAAAGTAGCTGGGCATGGTGGCATGTGCCTGTAGTCCCAGCTACTCTGGAGGCTGAGGTGGGAGGATCCCTTGAGGCCAGGAGTTCAAGGCTGCAATGAGCTATGATCAGGCTACTGCACCCCAGCCTGGGCAAGAGTGAAACCCCCATTGCTAAAAAAAAAAAAAAAATTAAATTAAATTAAATTAAGAGAAATAAATGCTTAAAAAATAAGAAATGCATTCCTTGGATTTGAATGCAGACTCTTTAAATGCAAATGGCCTTGGGGGAAACCCTAGTTTGCCCATTATGACTGTGGACAAGTGGATGTTTTAGATTTGTGGTGACAGCAAAGAAGGGAGGAGCCAGAAGACAAGAGTGAAGGGGTGAGGGGTTACCCAGGACAGAGGAAGGAGCCCAGAGGGACCCAAGACAAACTCCACCGACATCATAGGCTTGGTGGGTTTGGTGCAGTGTCCAGCACTGAGCTGGCAGCTCCCTGAGGCTCCAGGGCAGGGCAGAAGCACAGCCTCAGTGGGGTCCACCGACATCACAGGCTTGGTGGGCTTGGTGCAGTGTCCAGCACTGAGCTGGCAGCTCTCTGAGGCTCCAGGGCGGGGCAGAAGCACAGCCTCAGTGGGGAGTGCCCACCAGGATGAAGGGGGAGTGACAGGAGACCCCAAGATGCTGCAGTCTGCTCCTGCTCAAGCCCCAGCTGTCCAATGGGCCAGGCCTCTTATTCCTCAGCTCATTGAGGCCATTGTCTCACAGTACCGTGCCCCTCCACAGAGGAAAGGGTCACGCAGCTGTGCACCCCAGCGTTCCTCCAGTATAAAAAGCACGCCAGCCACCTGGGCTCATGGGAAAATGCAGATTCTGATTCAGTGGGGCCTATGGGGCCTGAGATTCTGCATTTTTAACAAGTTCTTGGGGGACGCCAAATGTTGCTGGCTCTTAGACCACCCTGAGCAGCGAGGATGGAGGAACTGCTAAGTGAATAATGTTAGTGGGTCAGGGGCTCCTCCCATGGCCAAAGGCAGCTGCCCAGGTGCCACGGGACACTAACATGTCCCCAAAGGAAATGCCACAGCATCCTATAGGACAGGACGGATGTCCAGCAGGGAGGGAGGGAAGGCACCAGAGGTGATGCTGAAACAGCAGGACAGGTGTTTTAAAGCTGGTTCCCTGAATGGGAGGCTGGGGGTCTCTCACCATGGATCTCCAGAAGGTTCTTGGTGCCAGCCTTGCGGTGCAGCTCATCGATGTTCTGGGTGATGACCACGACTCGCCGGCCCTGCTTGCCCAGCCGGGTCTCACACTCGGCTATGGCGCGGTGCCCGGCGTTGGGCTCCTTGCTCCCCATGACCTCCCGCCGGTAGTGGTAGAACTCCCACACCCGGGACGGGTTGTGGGCAAAGGCCAGGGGAGTCGCCAGGTCCTGGGAGTGGGAGAGGAGGCAGGAGTGAGGGAGGCAGAGACAGCCAGGATGCTGAACCCTGGGGCACAGGCCCTTCCTCCCTAAGGCAGAGACAGGCAGCGTCGGGAAGGTGCAGGCTGGAGATGGCAGCACTATGTTCAAACAACATGGCAGATGCCAGGCAGGGTCTGGGTACCAGCCTACGTCCCCATCCTGGGACTGCCCAGGGACCTTGGAGAAATCAGTCAATTTCCTTAGTGACAAAACAGGGATGATGCAACCTGTCCCATCTACCTCCCAAGTAAGTAGTGAAGATGAAGTAAAGGAACATGCAGGAAGGTATTTTGGGTCGAATCCCCTTTTTCATGCAGCTCTAAAACACACGAAGTGGATCTCATTTTGACCTACACCCAGGGAAAGCATGAAATGCAAAATGCCCATTGAGCTCTAATGACCATGGGTGAGAAACTCAGTTTTTGTAACTATAGCTATGGCTATACACACACACACAAGTACACATCTACATACACGCACATCTACACACAACTAAACACACACAACTCAATATACATACACACTACACATATCTACACACACACAACTGCACACACATACACACAACTAGACACACACACAACTACATATACTACACACACTAAAGATACACACACAACTACACACATCTACATCCACACAACTATACACACAACTAAACATACAACTACACACACAAACTAAACACACACAACTACACACATCTACATATAAACTGCACACACATAGCTAAACACACATATGCTGCTACACAAACTACACACGTCTACATACACACACAACTGCACACATGCACTACACACAGCTAAACACACACACAACTACACACACACACAACTACATACACACAACTAAACATATACACACATCTACATACACACAACTGTACATACACACAACTACATACACAACTACACCCACAACTAAACATACACACATATCTACATACACAACTACACACATCTACATACACACAACTGCACACACACAACTAAACATACACAATTACACAACATACATACACACAACATACACATAACTACACATATCTGTTAATACACACACAACTAAACATACACACAATTACATCTACATACACACACCTACACACAAAACCACACACACCTACACGCACAGAACTACACACATCTACATATATACACAGCTACACACATACATGCAACTACACACACAACTAAACACACACAGCTACACATAAAAAGTGTATATTTTATATATAAACAGAATAGATAAAATACATACACTTTAAATATGGTTCTGGGAGAAACAAACCTCCTTTCTGGTAAAGGAGCCGAGTAGGGGTTGTCTGGGGCTGGGAGCTGGCAGGGAAAGGCACAGGGAACTTTCAGGGATGACTGAAACATTCTGTTTCTTGATAGTGGAGGTGGGGGTGTTACGCAGTTGCATGCACCTGTTAAAACTCATCAAACTGTACACACAATGCACATGGGTGCATTTTATTCTAAGGAAATTCTGCCTCAATAACATTAATTTTAAAAAGAAATATGGCTTCTTTATCAAGGAGACACTTCCTACATTGAACACATGTGCATTTCATTCTACCGTAAAGGCCCCTCTGCTTAGTGGTAATGCCAGCCTTTGCCACGTGAGAGGTTGACCCACACCGACCCTGCTCTTCACCTAGAACACATGGCCTGGAGTAGTTTATAGGTGGCACAGGAATATGTCCACAGGCGTCCCTGGAAGGGTGTTGGAGTCAAATACATTCTACTGACTTCTTTGCTTTGTCTGCAAACTCTGAGCCTTTTCGGACGCAACTAAGCGCCCCTCCTCCGAGCTCCTCCCGCACCCTCTGACCTCCCACCCTCTGCTGCTGCTAATCCAGGGAATGCCCAGTGGCCCCTCTTTCTTGCTGGCCCCTAATGTTCTCTGCTCTCCTTTCTCCCCACTTCACCTTTAAGGTAATGACCCCCACCCTTCACCCAGATGGCAGCAGGCAGGAGGCAAAACACCGAAACATCTGCCAGGCTCAGATGTTCAGAAGAAGGAAGGGGCAGCTTCATGAACTCTGCATTCAATGAGAAATGAGCTACTAACCATGGAAGACATGTATTGCAGTATTTATTTATGACTGCTTTCGTTCAGCCAACGAAAATCCATTAAGCACCTATAATGTGCCAGAGTTCTGGAAACTGGAGACAATGCAACGAATAAAACAAACAGAGGCCGGGCGCGGTGGCTCATGCCTGTAATCCCAGCACTTTGGGAGGCCAAGATGGGTGGATCACCTGAGGTCAGGAGTTTGAGACCAGCCTGGCCAACATGGTGAAACCCTGTCTCTACTGAAAAATACAAAAATTAGCCGGGTGTGGCGGTGCATGCCTGTAATCCCAGCTACTCGGGAGGCTGAGGCAGGAGAATCTGGGAGGCAGAGGTTGCAGTGAGCCGAGATCACGCCATTGTACTCCAGCCTGGGCAACAAGAGCAAACCTCCATCTCAAACAATCAAACAATTCCTTGTCTTCCAAAGCTAGGGATTTCCTGAGCCAGTGGGATGGGAGAGCACGGACTGCAAAGGGCCATGAAGGAATGTTCTGGAGGGACAGAATTGTTCCATATTGTGATTATGGTGCTGGCTATACAACTATGTCCATTTGTTAAAACTCATTAAATTGTACACTTAAAACTGGTGACTTTTACTTTATGTATATTAGATCTCAATAAAAATTGAATTAAAAAAATCCGCACCTTCACAGAACTTACATTCTGAAGGGCTTCCTATAAATTTTTGAATATCAAATCCTAACCCTTCAATAACTGACATTAGTTTTAACATGAAAAGTTCACAGAAACTTTATGTGTCATACTTGAGTTCAATAATTTTAGAATAAAGTAATGAATGATGCTAACCAAGGTCTTCTGATTTCACTTTAACACAATTATTAGGAGAAACTGTTACCTGAATAAATGCAATCCACACCTATCTAGGAAGGAACGTGGCAGCCTTGCTTAAATTTTGATCTTAATCATAGAAACTTTGTGTTTATGCCAAAATCAATGAGACAATAGGGTCACAGTTCACTTAAAAACCATTTCCCTGGGGTTTCGGGGATCGGTATAGGATTTGAGTCAAACTCTGTTATGGTTTCATTCGACAGAGGCTTTTAATGTTCTGGAAACTTTACAAACCTGGGCTTGCCATTTTCTCCAATAACCTCCAGCTCCTCTGAAGGTCGGAACACCACTTTCTGCACTAACACCAGCTCCTGAGATGATGACTATGTGCTTTGCTTTTGCAAAAAACTTTCGAAAATCTGCCATACCTAAACAGAGTGAAATCTTTATCAATCCAGTGTACAGTTTGGACATTTGTATCCCATATCAATTGTCTGTATCTTGAAACTTGACCTAGTGTGAAGTTATACTTTAAGATAAACAAACATCATTCCTGTACCATGAAAACACCATCCCCATGTGACCTGCTGGGTGAGTGTACAATATTTTAAAGCAGCAGGGGCTTTGGGCACACACAGCCGGCTCTGCACCGCAGCTCTGCCTCCCACACAAATGTGTGATCTTACATAAGTTACGTACCTTTCTCCATCCTCACTGTCCTTGGCTCTTTGAGGTGCACAGTAGTGCCTTCCCTAGAGCAGGCATGTTACGAAGATTAAAAAAAGCCTAGTGGGAAGGAATCCATCTTCCTTCATAAAAGTAAAAACAAGCCTGTATGTTTGTGTGAGTGCTGAGTTGAGGCCCACTGGACCCCAAAGCCTACCCTTCCTCCCCCAGTTCACCTTCCCTTTGGGGATCTTGCTAATTTCAGCTTCCCTCAGCACAGCGACTGAAGGTGAGGGCAAGGGTCTTATTTGAGGACACATGGCCTTCTTCTTGACAAGTCAAATGAGAGCCAAACTTTTCAACAGGACACTGCCAGAGACTTGGGGTAGCAAAGGGAACTGAAGACAGAGAATAACACGAGAGGAAGTAATTGTGGACACAGACCATGGCTTGCCCTCCCGTCCTGCAACTCCAGGCAGTTCTCCTGCCTGAACACAGACCCACAGGGACAGCAGCTATGGTGGTGAGGGCTCCCTGCACCCCAAGTGCTATGCCAAGCACTTTACGTGGATCACAAGGTGGGATTTTTTCCCCTGAAACAAATGTCCTCATCCTAGGACAAGAAGCAGGAGCCAGACTTGGAACTCATGATGGGGGAAGCTGCCACTGTTTCTCTTGGGCAGCAGAAACTGGGAAAGGGAGGTCAGCTGGGGACACAGCTTGTTTCTGCTTCTCTCCTAGGCACCGCAGCTCTGCAGGCCCTTGTAAGGTAAGCGCTGTGGCCCTGGAAAGCCAGAATTAAGGGGTACAACACTGAACATACGCTGCCAGGAGGAGAACAGAGAGCCCCTTTTCTGCCCTCCCCCTGGAGAAGCGAGTGCTGTACCTCACTGCCTGCTGCAGGCCTAAGATACTGAAGCCGGGAATGCCCCACCCTGGATATGGAGATCTTCCAAGGATGGCCACCCTGTGTTAAAGCACTAAGAATTCCAGCAAATGTGGAGCTGAATTCCTCAGCTGACTAAGCAGGCTCCCTGGCCTTCCTCTCTTGAGGAAATGGCAACCAAGGCTAACCCTTGGACTGAATGAATGAGGGGAGGCTAACCCTCCCCTGACAGATGGAACCAGGGACAGGCAGGAAGCAGGCAAGGAAGAAACATAGTGGGATGGGGGCTCAGAGATGGTGAGCTTAAATATTAAAGGGAACGTGGCCTCATTCTGTATCCCAGCCATAAGGGGCATCCTACTGGTTTCTCATGTATGGTTGACTCCCTCTAAGCAGGGATGGAACTTACTCATCCTCATAAGCCCAGAGCCACACACTATGCCCAGCCTAGGATAGAGACTGTCAATAAGGGCTCAACCCCTCCTCCCCTTCCCTTCCTCTCTTCCCTACCATGGACTCCTGGTAAAAATGAATTCAGAAGAAGAATAGGCTTTTTCCTCTCTGGCTCCATTCATGTTTTGGCAGCACAAGGCTGAGAGAAATTAAGACAGTCACGGTGGAACAGAACAGAGGCCTCAGAAATAACACCACACATCTACAACCATCTGATCTTTGACAAACCTGACAAAAACAAGGGGGAAAAGATTCCCTATTTAATAAATGGGGCTGGGAAAACTGCCTAGCCATATGTAGAAAGCTGAAACTGGATCCCTTCCTTACACCTTAGACAAAAATTAACTCAAGATGGATTAAAGACTTAAATGTAAGACCTAAAACCATAAAAACCCTAGAAGAAAACCTAGGAAATACCATTCAGGACATAGGCATGGGCAAGGACTTCATGACTAAAACACCAAAAGCAATGGCAACAAAAGCCAAAATAGACAAATGGGATCTAATTAAATTAAAGAGCTTCTGCACAGCAAAAGAAACTATCATCGGAGTAAACAGGCAACCTACAGAATGAGAGAATATTTTTGAAATCTACCCATCTGACAAAGGGCTAATATCCAGAATCTACAAATAACTTAAACAAATTTACAAGAAAAACACACACAACCCCATCAAAAAGTGGGCAAAGGACATGAACAGACACTTCTCAAAAGAAGACATTTATGCAGCCAACAGACACATGAAAAAATGCTCATCATCACTGGCCATCAGAGAAATGCAAATCAAAACCACAGTGAGATACCATCTCACACCAGTTAGAATGGCGATCATTAAAAAGTCAGGAAACAACAGGTGCTGGACAGGATGTGGAGAAATAGGAACACTTTTACACTGTTGGTGGGAGTGTAAATTAGTTCAACCATTGTGGAAGAGAGTGTGGCAATTCCCCAAGGATCTAGAACTAGAAATACCATTTCACCCAGCCATCCCATTACCGGGTATATACCCAAAGGATTATAAATCATGCTACTATAAAGACACATGCATACGTATGTTTATTGCGGCACTATTCACAGTAGCAAAGACTTGGAACCAACCTAAATGTCCATCAGTGATAGACTGGACTAAGAAAATGTGGCAAATATACACCATGGAATACTATGCAGACATAAAAAAGGATGAGTTCATGTCCTTTGCAGGGACATGGATGATGCTGGAAACCATCATTCTCAGAAAACTATCGCAAGGACAGAAAACCAAACACCACACGTTCTCACTCATAAGTGGGAGTTGAACAATGAGAACACATGGGTACAGGGCGGGTAACATCACACACTGGGGCCTGTCGGGGGGTGGTGGGCTTGGGGAGGGATAGCATCAGGAGAAATACCTAATGTAAATGATGAGTTGATGGGTGCAGCAAACCAACATGGCACATGTATACCTATGTAACAAACCTGCACGTTGTGCACATGTACCCTAGAACTTAAATTATAATAAAAAATAAATAAATAAATAATTTAAAAAATAAAAAAGTAAAAGAAATAACAAAAGACGGTCACAACACGCCATTCTCGTCAGGTTGCAACCAACCCAACTACCCCACCAATCACACTAAAGCTCTACCTGAACTCACATCCCTTCCAGAGATAGGCTGCTTGTTTTTGTCAGGTTTGTCAAAGATCAGATGGTTGTAGATGTGTAGTGTTATTTCTGAGGCCTCTGTTCTGTTCCACCGTGACCGTCTTAATTTCTCTCAGCCTTGTGCTGCCAAAACATGAATGGAGCCAGAGAGGAAAAAGCCTACTCTTCTTCTGAGTTCACTATAGACTAAGGGCCCAGACAGGTTAATTTGTAGGTTTTTGCCAGGTAGAGCTGCAAAGTATTTCTGTCCAGGAGAAAATTTAACCTCATACTGCCCTATAGGACAATCACCAGTTTTCCTCCCCTGCAGAGAGATAAGGATTTTATAGTACAAAACATGTGTAAAAAGCTTAAATGCAAATATTCTGGCAGAAGCAACAAAATGTCCTAGATGGACTTGAGTATTAAGGAGATAGGCTCTGAAGGTGCCCTAGAAGGGATTACCTAAAAGAGAAGAGGACAGGTGGGCGCGGTGGCTCATGCCTGTAATCCCAGCACTTTGGGAGGCTGAGGCAGGCAAATTACGAGATCAAGAGATCGAGACCATCCTGGCCAACATGGCGAAACCCCATCTCTATTAAAAATACAAAAATTAGCTGGTTGTGGTGGCATGTGCCTGCAGTCCCAGCTCCTCGGGAGGCTGAGGCAAGAGAACTGCTTGAACCCAGGAGGCGGAGGTTGCGGTGAGCCGAGGTCGCACCACCGCACTCCAGCCTGGCGACAGAGCAAGACTCCGTCTCAAAAAAAAAAAGAGAAGATGACAGAGTGGCTTTCTCCAAAACCTTGCCCAATACCTAATTTGACAGAGACATTCCTCTCGAAGTGTAGGACTTTCAGGTACTTCACATTTGGCTGCAGGTGAGGCAATGGGTAAAATGACTTACTTGAACTTGGCCGAGCCATTTTCAGGCAAATCTGGTTTCGTGTGGACGCTGGAGGCTTCAGGCCACAATATAGCTGGGAAATCAATCGACTTGGGACAATCTGGAGAGGTCGCATCAGGGTTTGTCTGTAGTTCTAATGCTTGAGGCGGGCTTTAGAAAAATCACAAAAACAAATAGTGTAGAAACAATCAGCAAATATTTTTATATATGGAAATATGTATAAATATTTATATTTTATATATTACAGAAACGCATCATGTATATTATATTATACCCACACGCACACATACACGAATGTCCTTTAAAAAATCTTTAGTAACAGATCATCCTCTGAACTGGCTGTTTTCCGTTTGTGTTCTCAAGTGCTCCTAGAGGTGCAGAGGTGCCTTGGAGCAGTGCTTCTCAAAGCGTGTTCCCTAGACCAGCAGCGTCGCCATCACCTGAAATCTTGTTAGAAATGCAGCCTCTGGTTCCACCTCAGAGCTGCTGAATCAGAAACTCTGGGGGTGGACCCCATCATCTATTTCCAGGTGATTCTAGTAACTACTCAAGTTTGAGGACCACTAAAATGCACAAGAAAGGGTTAAATATGAGAATTCATTTGAAAACTTGCTGCTTTTCAAAAGGTATGAAGCCAGGTGCAGTGGCTCACGCCTATAATCCCACCACTTTGGGAGGCCGAGATGGGTGGATCACCTGAGGTCAGGAGTTTGAGACCAGCCTGACCAACATGGTGAAACCCTGTCTCTACTAAATACAAAAAATTAGCTGGGAGTGGTGGTGCATGCCTGTAATCCCAGCTACTCAGGAAACTGAGGCAGGAGAACTACTTGAACCCCGGAGGCAGAGGTTGCAGTGAGCCGAGATTGTACCATTGCACTCCAGCGTGGGCAACAAGAGGAAAACTCCATCTCAAAAAAAAAAAAAAAAAAAAAAGAACAAAGAAGAAAAAAAAGAAGGTATGAAAACCACCACTAGTCTCTCAACTTGCGGTCAAAGTACAGTTTCTTTCTTTTATTTCAGACAGGGTCTCACTCTGTCACCCAGGCTGGAGTGCAGTGGCGTGATCACGGCCCACTACAGCCTTGACTTCCTGGGCTCCAGCGATCCTCCCACCCCATCCTCCCCAGTAGCTGGGACTACAGGCACGCGCCACCATGCCCGGCTAATTTTTGTATTTTTGGTAGAGACAGGGTTTCACCATGTTGGCCAGGCTGGTCTTGATCTCCTGAGCTCAAGCCATCCACCCACCTAGGCCTCCCGAAGTGCTGGGATTACAAGCATGAGCCACCATGCCCAGCCCAAAGTAGTTTCTGTGAGAATGTAATTTCTAACTGAGAACTAAATTCTGAAGGAAAGAAGTGTACTGTGACAATAGTATTAAGATAACATCGTGTCACAGAAACTCGTGGATCTTAAGGCACATTCAGTAAATCTTTGTCTATACCTGAGGAATTTTA
Source organism: Homo sapiens (assembly GCF_000001405.40). Classification (NCBI taxonomy): domain Eukaryota; kingdom Metazoa; phylum Chordata; class Mammalia; order Primates; family Hominidae; genus Homo; species Homo sapiens. The sequence goes on along the minus strand of NC_000006.12, from coordinate 13,582,765 downwards.
TAAAAAGAAAACAAACACAGAGAAAGACAACATTTGGAACAATGACACTGATTGTCCAACAAAACTGTGGGGGCAGAAAATATAACGGTGGTTGCCAGAAAGGGGAGGAGTGATTAAAAAGGGGCATGCGGGAATTTTTTTTTTTTTTTTTTTTGGTGGGAGGCAATGGTATTGTTATATATCTCGATTGTGGTAGTAGTTACATGACTGTATCTGTCAAAACTCATAAAACTCAATACTAACAAAGGGTTAATTTTATTAGACACATATTTTACTTAAAAATAATGAGTATAGAGCTTCAGTTTTACAAGATGAAATGAGTTCAGGGGATTAGCTACACAACAATGCGAATAGACTGAACTGTACCCTTAATAATGGTTAGAATGCTAAATTTTGTTACATGTGTTTTACCACAATTGTATTTTGTAAGAGAAAGGCAAGGGGATAAAAGAATATACCTTAACTTTCTTGCATTTGCTATAAAAACAAAAAAAGAATTCACAAGAAATTAGTAAAAAGAATTGAGTATAGGGTGGGAAACGCTATGTAAGGAGATTAGAGCTGAGCAAGGATTTTCCATATGTGTTTATATATTGTTTGGATTATCAATGCCTTCCAGTCCAAGGAACACACTTGTACTCGAGCAAGTTGCGAGAGATAGAACACGCCATGAAGAACTGCAGCATCTGTTAGGAACCTGGAATGGACTGATTAGAGGATTTGTGCTTGTGTTAGATCATGTTGGGGAGAGGTTCATGGAAGTGGGGCTTTGTTCTGGATTTGATGCTGTTAATGGATCTTATCTAAAAGGTGGAAGGAATGAAGAGAGGCTAGAGCTGTGAGTGGCCAAGCAGGAGTCCCTCATGTTAGCGGCATGGGAGGATGTTTGGTCATCTTTGTGGCTTCAACAATGTTCCTGTTTCGGTCCCAGTTCAGACGTGATTACTGAGTGGCCTTGTTCTTGTCCTGACCCATTGTGGTCACAGAGTGGCCCTGTCTGATATCGGTGCTCTGTGACGTGGTTTATGTTCAATAGAACACCAAGGCCTATCAGATAGTGCCAGGCTCAAGACTAGAAGCAAACCAAATGTCCATCAATTTATAAATGGGTAAACAAATTGTGGTTTATCCATACCATGAAGACTCTTCAGCAATAAGAACAAACTACTAATACCTTCAACAGCATGAATGAATCTTTAAAAGTGTTATCCAATAATAACTCTATAGTAGAAAAGCTGGCAGCTACCACCTTAACCAAGTGATCAAAGTTAACATCACCAGTAATAAGACATGGCGACTCCACCTACCTCCTCATATGATGCAATGAGAAGGGCAAAGCATCACTTGTGTGGCATTCATGACTGCAATTTAGTTATGAGAAAATGCCAAACTCAAGCTGAGGGGCGTTCTACACACTCTACAGCAAAACTGGCCAATACTCTTCAGAAAAGTATCAAAGTTTTGAAAGATAAGAACTGGAGAAACTGTCCCAGGTCCTAATGAGACATGACAAGTAAATGCTACGTGGGATCCTGGGCTGGATTCAAGACCTGAAAAGGGACATTAGTAGGACAAATGGCAAAATTTGAATGAAGCCTGTAAATTAGTTACTAGTACTGTATATGTAAATGTCTAGGTGTAGTACTTGTCCTGGTTTAGATCATTGCACTCTAGTTAGGTAAGATGTGAACATTAGAGGAAATTGGGTAAATGGTATAATGAGAACTCTGTGTACTATTTTTGCAACATTTCTGTAAGCCTAAAATTATTTCAAAATAAAATTGCTTCACAACAAGAAAAAAAAGGGCCAGCCATGGTGGCACACACCTGTAATCCCAGGACTTTGGGAGGCTGAGGCAGGAGGATCACTTGAGCCCAGGAGTTCGAGACCAGCCTGGGCAACAAAGTGAGACCCCATCTCTACAAAAAAGTAGCTGGGCATGGCAGTGCATGCCTATGGTCCCAGCTACTCAGGAGGCTGAGGTAGGAGGATCACTTGAGCCCAGAAGGTTGAGGCTGCAGTGAGTCATGATTGTGCCACTGGACTCCCTGCCTGGGTGAGTGAGACCCTGTCAAAGAAAGGAGAGAAGGCCAGAGCAGGAGCGAGAGTGAGGGAGAAAGAGAGAAAGAGAAAAAGAGAGGAAGAAACAGAGGGAGGGAGAGGGAAAGAGAGACAGAGAAGCATTATGCTAAGTGAAAGAAGCCAGATACAAAAGGCTACATAGTTTTTGAGACCATTTATAAGACATTTTAAAAAGGCAAAACTGTTGGTACAGAAATCACACCAGTGGTTTCCAGGGACAGGGGTCGGGGGAGTAAGGGGGAGCAGAGAAATTTTTAGAGCAACGTAAAATTACATTATCTTTATTTTTGTGATTTTTTTCAACACTCATAGAACTGTATAATAAAAAGCGTGAATTTTACAGTGCGTAAGGAGTAATATGATAAACCTCACCTACAAATAAGCAAGCAAGTCAACACGTTTTCAATGTATCCTGTCTCTTCTGCAATCAAAAAGACTGTAGAAGAAGATTGACACTCAAAAAGAGAAGAGGTTAGAGAAACATGGTGTAGTGTCTCCAGAACAACCTCAGGGGACAAGGCTGTCTGGCTGCCTAAAGTTACTTCTGCAGGGAAGGCAGGCAGACTGGCTGCTAGAGGGAAGTGAACAGACTCATGGGCCCCAGCAGCCACTCTGGTGAGCAGCTCCCAGACTCAGTGACAATGGTGACATCCAACCAACATGAATATCACTCCAGTGCTTGATTTAAAGAAAGCTTGAGGAAAATGGATTGCCATGATCTTCAACTAGCATGGGCATGATAAACTTTTGACAAACTTCAATTTACCTGGAAAACTCAGTAAGGAACAAATGAGGTGTTAATATAGTTTGTGGGTTTTTTGTTAAAATCTGGAAAAACTTAAACATATACAAAAATAAACAGTGTAGTATGGGGAACCCTTATATTCTTATCACCCAGCTTCAATAATTAGGGGCATGAAGTTTTAAAAATATCGTTAGAGATGACAATTATTAAACTTGCATGTCATGAAAATTGTGAAGATCAAAACTCTGAATACTGCCTAACAGTAACTAAAAGCTTCTTATATGCTGCATGAAGTTACTTAGGCTATCATCTTGAGCTTAATACATACCTTTAGTTATTTCTCCCAAAATGAAGATGGTTGTCTCCACGGCTGCTTTCTAATATATTTGAATCTGGAGACATCAATATAATACAGACTTCTAATTTGATCCAGAAAATTATTTTCTTCTTCTGTAGGTTTTTATATGTTAGAAAACATTTCCATTTACTGTAAAAGAATTCAAAAAAACTACTGAATAAACTGTCATTTTTTTTTATCAGGCATGAAGGTAGGATTGTAAAAGTCATTAAGAATTTAAAAGAAATTAAGAACAATGTCACCTGGAATTATTCCCAAGATCGTAAATGTTCATAACATAAAACTATTTTCTTAGTCTTTATTTGCGACTACAAAGTATTTTAAGACTAAAAGTCTAAATACAATTTAGTATTTGCTACTAAATAGTCTTTTAAGATACTACTACAAAGTCTTTATTGAAAACATCCTTTGTGCCAACATGTATCTGCTTTTCCAGGGTGTCAGGGCAGGCAGTGGTTCTAGTTTCCACAAGGTTACAACCCTGTTCAAATTTAGAAGCAATGTCAGAAGGGTGACAAGGCACCATTGTGACAGTTAGAGGAAAGAGGACTCAGGGTGAAAGTTACCCTGGGTGAAGACTCCTGCCTTGATTTTATCTTCCAGGTGGGAAAAGAGGCCTTGAGGGAGGAAATAAACTCATTGATCAGTCATTGGGAGCTTTTTGGGTGCTAGGCAGGTTCTTATAAATTGACATTAATCCAAGTAATGTCATTTAACGATGCCTTTTCATGAAATCTGAAACTCACCTAACAGATTTTTTTTAAAAGCCTGTATGTTCTCTGTGAAAAAGGGGGGCACCCTACCAATTCTGAAAGATAGAAGTGAAAGATTATATCAGAAATTTGAGGGAAAAAAATTTACAGAAAACTCAGAACCTGATGGCTTCACTGATGACCTGAATTCTACCAAACATTTAAAGCAGAACTAATACCAATTATTTTCTTTTTTTTTTTTTTTTTTTTTGAGATGGAGTCTCGCTCTGTCCCCCCAGCTGCAGTGCAGTGGCGCCGTCTCCACTTACTGCAAGCTCCACCTCCCGGGTTCATGCCATTCTGCCTCAGCCTCCCGAGTAGCTGGGACTACAAGCAACCGACACCACGCCCGGCTAATTTTTTGTATTTTTAGTAGAGACGGGGTTTCACCGTGTTAGCCAGGATGGTCTCGATCTCCTGACCTCGTGATCCGCCTGCCTCGGCCTCCCAATACCAATTATTTTCAAACTCTTCTAAAAAACTAAAGAGGAGGAAATACTTCTAAACTCATTTTAGGAGGCCAGTATTACCCTGATACCAAAGCCAGAGAAGGACGTTACAAGAAGAAAAACTACAGACCAATATCCCTGATGAACATAGATGCAAAAATTCTTAACAAAATACTAACAAACTGAATTCACTGACACGTTAAAAGGATCATTCATCATGATTGAGATTTATCCCTGGAATGCAAAGATGGCTCAACATACACAAATCAATAAATGAGATATACCATATTAACAAAATGGAGGACAAAAACTGTATGATCACCTCAAAAGATGCAGTAAAACATGTGACAAAATTCAACATCTTTTCATAATAAAAACTCTCAATAAGTATAGAAGTACTGTGACACAGAAAGACCAAATATGACAAACTCACAGCTAAATCATACTCAACGGTAAAAAGTTGAATGCTTTTCCTCTAAGATCAGGAACAAGACAATGATGCTCACTCTCACATTGTCTATTCAGTGTAGTACTAGATGTCCTAGCCAGAGCAATTATGCAAGGAAAGGAAGTAAGTCATCCAAATAGGAAGGGAAGAATTTTTCTATATATGTTTTCTATATATAAGATCTATATATAATATAGATATGTATATAAAATATAGATATATAATATCTATGTATATAAGATATACAGAGAGATCTATAGGGATATATAAATATATATATAATATAGAGAGACATATAAGATATATGAGATTTCTATATATAAGATGTTATCAGCATGATCCCTGTTTGATGATAATATGATTTTATATACAGAATACACTAAAGACTCAACCAAAAAAAACTGTTAGAACTAATAAATTCAGGGAAGTTGCAGGATACAAAATCACATATAAAAATCAGTGGTGTTTCTATACTCTAACAACCAACTATATGAAAAAGAAATTAAGAAAACAATTTCATTTATAATAGCATTAAAGAAAAAACCACTTCAGGTAAATTTAACCAAAGATATAAGACCTGTACACTGAAAACCATAAAACACTGATGTGAGAAAAGAGACACAAATAAGTAAAAAGGTATCCCATGTTCGCGGATTAGAAAAATTAATGGTTGTTAAAGTGTCCATACTACCCAAAGCAATCTACAGATTCAATGTAATCTCTATCAAAATTCCAATATCATTTTTCACAGAAATAGAAAAAACAATCCTAAAGTTCATATGGAATTGCAAAAGACCCTAAATAGCCAAAGCAGTCTTGAGTGAAAGGAACAAAGCCAAAGGCATCACACTCCCTAATCTCAAAATATATTATAGGGCCATTGTAATCAAAACTGCATGGCACTGGCATAAAAATCGGCACATCAACCAATGGAACAGGAATAGAAAGCCCAGAAATAAGCCCAAGTATTTACAGTCAATTGATTTTTGACAAAGGTGCTAAGAACACACAATGGGAAAAGGAAAGTCTCTTTAATAAATGGCATCAGGAAAACTGAATATCCACATGCTGGATAACAAAATTGAGTCCTTATCTCACACCATATACAAAAATCAACTCAAAATAGATTAAAGTCTCAAACATAACACCTGAAACTGTAAAACTAATAGAAGATAACATAGGTGAAAACTCCATATTAGTCTGGGCAATGATTTCTTGGATAGGACCCCAAAAGCAACAAAAGCAAAAATAGACACATGGGATTGCATCAAACTAAAAAGCCTCTGCACAGCAAAGAAAATAATTAACAGAGTAAAGAGACAACCCACAGACTGGGAGAAAATATTTGCAAACCATGCATCTGATAAGGGGCTCTTATCTAAAATATATAAGAAACTCAAAAAACTCAACAGCAAAACAAAACAAAACGAATAACCCGGTTAAAAAATGGACAAAGAACCTGAACAGGTATTCCTCAAAAGAAGACATATGAATGGTCAACAAATACATGAAAAACGCTCAACTTTGCTAACCACCAGGGAAATGCAAATTAAATCACACTGAGCTACCACCTCACGCTTGTTAGAATGGCTATTATAAAAAAGATCAAAGACAACAAGTTTTGTCCAGAATGTGGAGAAAAGGGAACCCTGGTACACTGTTGGTGGAATGTAAATTAGTACAGCCATTTTGGAAAACAGTATGGAGGCTCCTCAAAATCTAAAAATAGAATTACCACATGACCCAGAAATCCTACTTCTGGGTATATATACAAAGGAATTGAAATCAGTATGTTGAAGAGATAGCTGCATTCCTGTGTTGTTTTCAGCATTATTCACAATAACCAAGATATAGAAGCAACTAAGTATCCATCAACTGAGGACCGGATAAAGAAAATGTGGCACATATATACAATGGAATACTATACAGTCTTAAAACAGAAGGCAATTCTGTCATTTGCAACAACATGGATGAACCTGGAGGACATGAGGCCAAGTAAAATAAGCCAGGCACAGAAGGACAAACAGCACATGATCTTACTTATATACTTGGGGTCTAAAAAAGTTGAACTCATAGAAGCAGAGTAGAATGATGGTTACCAGGGGCCTGGCAGAGGGCTGATGTGGAAGGGAGGGATGTTGGTCAAAGGATACAAAGTTTTAGTTAGGTAAGAGGAGTAAGTTTTAGTGATCTACTGCACAGCATGGTGACCATAGTTGATGATGTATTGTATATTTCCAGGAGAGTAGATTTTCACCACAAAAAATAAGTAGGTGAGGTGATGGATATGTCAATTAGCTTGATTTAATCTTTCTACAATGTATACATATATCAAAACATTACACTGTACGCTATAAATATATAAATTTGTCAATAAAAATAATTATATAAATATATATTTATATAAAACAAAATACATGCTAAGGATAATGCAATGAACTGCAAAAAGTTGTACAGGCTCCCAATAAATAATTTTTGAACGCCTAAGAGCTAAATAAATGCAATACATCACTCCCAGGTGTCTCCACTAGGGGGCCCCATTCCCTCCCGTTCCATCACCTGCTTTCCTCAAGGTCGTCTCCACCCTCCTATTTGTTGATACCCGGCCTCTGACCCAGTTCATCACTTTCCCGGGCTTCCGGGCGCCACCCTCTTCAGGTTTTCCTCCTACCCCTCCAGCCCTGCCCCTCTGGATCTCCCATCCTCCCAGCGCGCCAGACTGCATGCGGCCTCCCCGCCCTGTGTCCAAGAGGCAGCTTCCACTCCACGCGGGCAAGCCTGAGCTCCAGAGCCGTCCTCAAGCCGCCTCCCCCCGAAGCACTGGGACTTCATCCTCCCGGCTACTACTCGTGCCCAGGGACTAGGCCCTGAGCCTTCCCTTCTCGCACGCCCCATAGCCAAGCTGCTCAGCAGAACCTGACGGCTCCACCTTCAAACTACGTCCGGAATCCGACCCCTCTCCACGCCCACTGCCTCCACCCCGGCCACCTTCCTCGGTCACCCTGGCAGCTGCAATGACCAGGGTGACCTTTCTGAAAAGGGAGGCTCTGTTCGGAGCCCTCGCGGGGCTCCCCAGCACAGCGGCCTCCCATGCCCACCTGCTCGGGTGGGATTACTTTCCAACCCCGTTTCCATCCCCCTCCCTGGTCTCCAGCCGCAGCGACCCCCACGCAGAGCCCGGAAGACCTTGGGCCCCGCACATGCTGCCGGCCCGCTAAGAGCTCTGGGTACCCCCGGAGCGCCTTCCAGGCTTTCTCCTAGAGGCGCTGTGTCCCGACCGCGCTCCGGACCTGAGCCACGGCTCACCTGGGGCAGCTCGCGCCCCCGAATACAGTCTCCCACGCCCCGCCCCCCGGGGTGCCTCCCTCCCAGCTCTCTGTACCCACCCACCATCCCCCACATCCCTTCCTCCAACCGCTAGCCAGTCACCAGCCCGGGACCGCAGGGCAGAGGCCGGGCCGCGCATGCGCACCGCGGACCGGTGCCACCTCCGCTCGCGAGCCCGCGGCAGGCCCTGGGCGGTGCGCGCAGTCCCGCGAGAGCAGTGCTTGGTCGGGACCTCGAAGCCGGAGCCCGAGCGGGAGAGGCCGCGGAGACCCCGGCCCGGCGCAGGCAGAGACGCACCTGCGGGAGGCGGGCGCGCCGGCTGGAGAGGAGGCCGTGGGGCGGAGCGGCTCAGCGTTCTGCTCGGCTGCAGCGGCCCCTGCCGGAGACCCGGGCGCCGTGGTCTTCTTTATAATTGAAGGATTGTCTCTCTGTTTTTATTTGGGGTGGGGGTGGGGGTGGGGGGCGGCGCAGTGACTTGCTTCGACTTTGTCAGCTTCCAGGGTTCATTCCACTGCCCAAATATGTAGTGAGTTACTACCGGCTTTGCTTCCTCCTTCAGCAAACGGCTGGACCACACAACTTCAGGAGAGAGGATTTTAAATGTTAGGGTCATTTTCCCTAAAACGATTTCAAATGACGGTGAGTTGGTTCCCAGGCTAGGCCACCTAACCTCGAACGCAATGACGAGTGCACTCTGACTGCTGAGCTGAGAGCCTTCCGTGGCTCTGGGACCCAGTGACTCACGTGGCTCCGCATGTCCCCGTTCCCTTAAAATCGGAGTCTTTCCTTTTCTTGGATTCCGGCTTGCCACCAGCACCACTTGGCAGAATGGAATTGCTTGCGGGCATGTCAGTGGACTAGAAAGGGAAGTAAGTGGTCTGAGAACTTGGGGGCCAAAAATGTTACATTAACATTTTTTGCCTACCTAAAATCTCAGCCACTTCCCACAGTTTGGCTGGAAATTCAGCCCATGTTGAGGCCCTTCTCATTCCTGCAGGTGTTACCAGCAACTCAGAGGTTTATGGAGTAACGAAATTGGGGAGGGCCTCACATCCGGCTGCTGTTTTTCCCCCTAACGTGTATGGTGCTTATTCTGAGCCAGACACTTTTAAGAACTGCACATTATTAACCATTTTAAATCGTCCCCACCACCTGATGAAATAGGTACTGTTATCCCCACTTTATGGGTGGGGAAACCGAGGCCCAGGGAGGTCAAGTAACTGCGCAAAGCACAAAACTGTTGAGTAGTAGTGTTACCAGGGCAGTCCTGGAGAAATCGCTCAGAGGGCAAAACTGAGAGCTCATTATTTTCTTAAACAGTAGACAGCTGAAAATGCTCATTGTTTTTTAAACCGTTTTGTTTGTTTGATTTTTTTTCCTAGTCTCTTTATCTATAGGTAACCCAGCTTAAAACAACTGCGGTTGGCCCGGGATCCTCACTGCCCTTTGCCAAGTACCAGAGAAAGATAAGGCCTACTAGGAACCAGAGAAAACCAGAACCAGCCACCCCTTGTTACTTTTAGATCATTAATACATCATTATATGCTCAACTCCCGACCCGTAGAAGAGAATCGCCGCCATTTTCTGATAGTGCATTGTATGAAGAGGCATGTTTATGAAATGCACCTGTGCGTCTAGAGTTCCTCCCGGCATATGCTTGCATACCTCCCCACTCCACATCTAACGCCTTACAATTCCCCAGCTTCCCAAAGCTCTGGAAGAAGGGGGTCTTTAGAGTGAAAGTTTACTCCTTCTCTATTCCTGGCCAGGAATGAAACCCGCTTGCCGTTTTTTCCAGTTGGTGTGCTTTCTTTGCAACTGATACAGACTAGGAAAAGAACGCAATTTACCAGTAACAGTAGAGCTGGGATTTAAATCTAAGTGCTTTGACTTCAAAGACAAGGTTCCAAGCTGCTACACATACCAATTCTCGTTAAAGTGTATTCCATTTCTTTTGTGCTTTCATATTGACCATTGTGTGTTAATCCTTTCAATTGGAAGAAGAGGGAGACAGTGCCAGTTATTGCAAACTTTCACAGTCCACAGGCCCGATATGTAGCCTTCACCACCCACAGGTTCTGCCACTTCTGGGGCATTATATTCCATCAAGATCCAGGCACCCGCCATCCACATACCAGCCCTGGAACTCGTCCCTTCTCCCAGACTTGGAAACGCCACCTCTCCCTGACCAATGTCGAGCCACTTCCTCATCTTGATACATCAGCCACTATCCTTTCCATCTTTCAGGCAACTCCAGCTTAATTTCTCGATGGCCTTGCCCTTCTAAAAGGCCGTTCTCTTTTCCCAGATGACTTTTTCCTATCCCCTCCACAGTAACTCCCCTCATCCTTCCAGTCTCAATTCAATTGTTCCTTGGTGGGGTGGGGCGGGGGGAGCCTTCTTAAACCCTCCTCCCTCACAACTGCATGAGGTCCCTTGTCTCTAATATAAGCTCCTGTAGCACCATGGCACTTATCCCAGTTGAGATTTTAAATATATTTCTGTGTATTTGATTAAAGTTTCTCTCCTCCACCAGGCTGTGAAGGTGGCTTCTTGTTTTGTTTTGCTCCCCGTGGTATTCCCAGCACCTCAGGATCCCTTATAGTAGATGCTGAATTAGTAAATACATATTAAATAAATGAATGAACAATCTCACAGGAAAAGCAGCCTCAAACTCAGAGGATAATGGCTTGGGCTATCTTTACTAAAATTTAAGAGGCGAATGACCTTTTCTTTCTGCTTATGAGTCTGTCTGTAGCAGCACAAAATAAAAAATAAACAAGCAAGATAGAGTTCATTGATAACTCATCCTATTTACAGAGGTTTTCCTGGGACATGTGGGTAGGTGACAGAAAAGTTTAGAAGCACATACACTGGAAAATAATTTTGCCTATTTCCTTTGGTGAGATTCAGACATGTCAAGCTTTAACTCTGGAAAGAAAATCTCTCTCCATCCTGAGTTTTACATCCTCTTGGGATCTCTCACTTTATTGGTTATCACTGCTGTCTCTCAGGGGTGAACTGTCCTCTTTAAGCTTCTGGTGCAAATATAAATATGGAAATAAATGCCTAGGGATTTATTTCCTAGAATGACCCTACCCTGAGTTGGAGCATCACACACAGCACCATGAGTTGTGACGCTAACCTCCATCAGCTGGTCAGTGCATCTGCGTGTAACATGTAGCCATAGCATTTTCCCAACCCTGCTACACACAGTAACAGTGCACACAGCACATCTTAAGAAATAAAATTGACATGAATAACTGAGAGGTGGCAGACAGGAAAATGGGGATTGCAGGTGTTTGCATGCTCTGCAGTGAGGAAAGCTAGGTTGTCAGGACAAGTCTGCAACAGAAGGCAGTCTCGGGCCACGAGAACAACACACTGTCTTTCGATGGCTGGATGGTTGGATGACGAGCCCATATTCTTTTATTTTCTTTCTTTTTTTTTTTTTTGAGACAGAGTCTTGCTCTGTTGCCAGGCTGGAGTGCAGTGGCGTAATCTTGGTTCACTGCAACCTCTGCCTCCCGGATTCAAGCAATTCTCCTGCCTCAGCCTCCCGAGTAGCTGGGACTACAGGCGCCTGCCACCATGCCCAACTAATGTTTTTGTATTTTTAGTAGAGACGGGGTTTCACCATGTTGGCCAGCCTGGTTTCGAACTCCTGACCTCAGGTGATCTGCTTGCCTCGGCCTCTCAAAGTGCTACGATTACAGGCGTGAGCCACCCCTGACCAACCAATTAGCCCCTTTTTTTTTTTTTTTTTTTAAACAGAGTCTTGCTCTGTCACCAGGCTGGAGTGCCGTGGTATAATCTCGGGTCACTGCAACCTCTACCTCCCAGGTTCAAGCGATTCTTCTGTCTCAGCCTCCCGAGTAGCTGGGACTACAGGCGCTTGCCACCATGCCCAGCTAATGTTTTTGTATTTTTAGTGGAGACAGGGTTTCACCATGTCAGCCAGTCTGGTTTCGAACACCTGACCTCAAGTGATCAGCTTGCCTCGGCCTCTCAAAGTGATAGGATTACAGATGTGAGCCACCACACCCAGCCAATGAGCCCATATTCTTTTACTCTTTTCTTTTCTTTTTTTTTTTTTTTTTTGAGACGGAGTTTCGCTCTTGTTGCCCAGGCTGGAGTGCAATGGCACGATCTTGGCTCACTGCAACCTCCACCTCCTGGGTTCAAGCGATTCTCCTGCCTCAGCCTCCCGAGTAGCTGGGACTACAGTGCCACCACGCCCAGCTAATTTTTGTATTTTTAGCAGAGACGGGGTTTCACCACGTTGACCAGGGTGGTCTCGATCTCTTGACCTCGTGATCCACCCGCCTCAGCCTCCCAAAGTGCTGGGATTACAGGCGTGAGCCACCACGCCCGGCTGAAATTTCTGTTCTTTATAAGTTACTGTTCTTTATAAGTTACCCAGTCTGTGGTATTCTGTGACAGCAGCACAAATGGACTAAGACAATACCCCAATCCATCTCCAATGAGGTGTCCAAGTTCTCCACTCTCCCAATGTTTACCATTGGATGGAAAGTTGTCCATAGTTATTGGGTGGGGGTAGGAGGGAGTTTAGTGGGGAAGGTCCATGCTTGAGGACCTCTTTGTCTCTGATACCTTTCCACCCTGGTCCTTGGTCTCTACAATAGTTCAAGGATGAGGATCAAAGTCCTAGCAGTTTCCAAATGCTGATTCTTTCTCTGATGAGAGACCTGTATAGTTTGGGGGGATTCTTATAACCTTAGCTCCCTTGACATGGTCTCCTTAGCTTCTGCATCTTGGTAGGTTTGGATCTTTTCTAGCAGAGGGCCCTTCTCTTGACAGAAAGCTGGTAGAACAGGATTCTTCCCAAGAAAACTAAAAGCCAACTCCCTTTCCCATGGGGCCGTATCAAGTCCGTGGAAAACGTGCCTGAATCTTTTCACTGCTGAATCCTGGAAACAGAGGCATTCCTAACACAGCCCAAACTCTCTTGGGTCTGTTCCCTCAGGCCCACCTAGCCACTTCTTTCCTGTGGGTTTTCACAGGTACATATTGGCTACCAGTCCCTGAGGTCCTCCAGCTCTAGGGACACAGGTCAAGCTCTCTGGGTGTTTTTCTGAAGCCCTCCTCATTTGTCTTGAGGTGTAGGGAAAAGCTCTGTTCTCCTCACCAATGAGAGATAAGAAACATACCTGCATTTTAACAACGACAGTCAGAGAATTTTTTTCCTTTTACGTGTCTCTGGATGAGTGAGGGGCTAATAATGGCATAACAGTAACAATAGCTAATGTTTGCTGAGCTCTAAGCACCAGGCACGATTATGAACATTCCCCATGGGTTATTCTATTCTTCAATCCTCACAATGACCCAGTGAGGTAGAGGCTTTGATTTTCTTCATTTTACCGCATGGACAGATGAACTAATCTGCCCCTGGTCACGGAGTTGCTAACTACAGGGTCAGAATTTGGACCCAGGCCTTCTGGCTCCTGAGCCCATGCTGTTGCCAACTATGAATAGTCTAGCACCTCTCTTTCTAAGGTGGGGGTGCTCGTCACCTCTTTTCTTCTCAGCCTTCTGAACCTAAGCAACATTCTGAGGCAACCAGGGACATTGCGTGTAATATCCTGATACATGAAAACATATATATATAATGTTGTACATTATATATAACATATAAAATGTGCATTTTTTTCTTTTGCTCCCTACATTGTCTCTATTTTCTCCTGTTTCCTTTTGTGTTTGTTTTGGAGAGATCATGAGAGATCATGTTGGAGGCTTTCCTCAAGTATCTGATGATCCTTGACTGTTCACAGCAAGACACCAAAAATGGATAGGATGATCCCAGGTAGGGGTGGGGGTTGAGGAATGGCTTCACTGTTGGGCAAGGATAGAGCTAGTTCATTGGAGGACACAAAAAAATGTCAGTCTTTGAGGCTTTCAGGTATTTAAAGAAGCATCATACAGTATCCTGTTGGTGAAAGGTATGTGCCTGTTTGCCAGAGTTTTCCTGACTGAGTCGTGGAAGAGGGTTTGGGATAGGGTGGGAGGTCCTTAATATTAAAATGTAGACTTTCTCTTAGTCCTCTTTTTTTTTTTTTTTTTCCCAGTACAGCATCTCTCCCTCACTCTCCTCTGCTTGCTGTCCCCAGGTTGTCCCCAAGAGTGGTGCAGTTTTTCCAATGAAGAAAACTTTCGCTTTGTACAAGCATGTGGGGAGGCGAAGGAGAGGAGAAGATGGGAGGGAGGGGGAAGGAAGCAGAATTTTTTAAAAGCTATGCAGCTCTAGAAACTGAATCCTATTGATATTTTTGAAGGGAGCAAGTTAAATGTATAAATTGCTTTAAGGAGAATTAACAGATTTATGATAGTGAACTTTCCTATTTAAAAACAATGTTTACCTTTCCATTTATTCAAGTCATCTTGTAAATCTCCCAGGAATGTTTTCAACTTTCTTCATATGAATTTTCCACATTTTCCTATTTAATTTATTCCTAAATATTTTATAATTAAAAATAAGTTGTGGAAGTTAACCAAAGGATGTGTTCATTTCGAAAAGTCATCTTTACATGAAGAACTGAACAAAACAAAAAATAAGACAGTAGGTCAAAAGCTAAGAAACACGAGAATAAAAATCCAATATTCTTCAAATTGACTGGGTAGATGCAGCCACCTCTAGTATAATTTCATCCATCCATCCATCTATACATCCATCACAGCATCCATCCATTTATATACTCATTCATTTATCTTATATGTGCCAAAAACTGGCTAGGCCTTCAATGTGAGCTCTGTATGAGTACTGATAATATTAGCAGTGCATGGATGAAATAATAAAACTCTACTATCAAACATACTCTTTTTGTTTTTTTCTTTAGCCCCTCCTCAAAACTTTAAATACTGAAATTTAGTCTTTGCTTTTTCTCCCTTCCTTTCTAATACAGAGCTCTACAGGGTACCTGTTGTAAATATTAACATTTTCCTTAGGCGCATAAAGCATTTAAAAAATTTTTTTCATCAGAGTCTTTAAGAAGTTTAATATAATCTGGTGAGAGGTCAAGGCAAAAGATTGAAGTTGAGGCAAAACTAGTGCACCGGCATTGTCTCTAATCAGGACACTTTATTAGAGCGGTAGGAACAAAAAACACCCTCAGGAAACACACAGAAGAGAGCTTGGGTTTAAGTTCTACTTCAGCGGACATTTGTCCATTTTATTACATATTCGATCTGTATTTATTTCATAAACAGATTTGATCACTTACTCCACTGAGTGTGTGATAAACACTGGAGTGCATGTAGAAGTGTGTTGCAGGCAATGTTCTGTGGGACTGAAAAGCACAGGATTTAAGAATCCAGTCTTCACCAATTCTGTCTTAGCATCTTGAACCTCAGATTTTTCACCTTTCAGATGGGGCTAATAATGCTCATTCTGAATGCATTGTTGTAAGGATTAAATGAAATAAGGTATGAAGAGTATTTAACATAGTGCCTAGCATACAGTACCACCCAATAGGCAGTTGCTGTTCATTTGCTACTTTCCAGGACTAGGTTATGAAATTACTTTATACATTTCACTTTGAAATAACATCTGAGTAGTTATTAGCAACTATCAACCCCCTCATCTTTGTACTGTTTCATCAATCTCCTTGAAAAAGAAACCATATATCAACCCTCTTGGAAAGGCATAAAATGAATATTAACCAGATTCTGAAATTTCCGTCATGTCAAACAGGCGTGATTCTGAAAACAGCAGCATCAGCAACACCTGGAAGTTTTTAGAAATGCTAAATATAAATCCCTACTCTAAAATGCTCCATCAGGATCTGCATTTTCAGATCCTAAGGTGACTGTATGCACTTTACAGTTTGAGAGTTACTGCCCTTGTTTACCTACCAGTGGAAGTTCAAGAGGGCATTTACCTGATGATTTTTGGAAGCAGAGGAGGAGAATGAGACATAAGATGAGAAAAAAGCAGTGGAAACTCTTGGGACTTTCCACATGTCCTGGCCTCACCCAGGTCCACAGCCCTTTGAACTTGCTTATCCTCCCCATGATGGACATGTGTGGTACAAGATACCACCAAGAAAGGCGTATGTGGTGAACTGGCAGGGAAATGCGGAAGGGGGCTCTCTAGAAGACAGAGTGTGGACTACGGGGACCCTGGAAGTGAATTCATCCTCAGGAAAGAAACAGGAAGGCGTGTTGAGCTGGTCTCAACAATAAGTCTAAGGTCTGAAGCCGGGCAGCAGGTCTAAGTAGACAGAGCATAGTGGTCATGACGCAAGCCTGCCCAAGCCAGTCCCCTTGACACCACCTGAGCTTTAGAGAGGAAAGAGCTTATGTAAAAGTAAAGCATTTGGCTCATTAAATTCTGTGATGCCTGGGGTCTAAGGATCTCTCCTACGGCCTCTAAGAATATAAACCAAGAAGAGCAGGATTCACAAGTCATTATCCATCACACAGCACAAATGATCTGTAGGCAATGGCCCAAGGAGACTGTTGAGCAGTGGATGGGGATGAGTCATCCTGCTGACATGGGCACTGGCGTGAAGGGGTTTGAAGATGCCCCTTCACAACAAAAATCAAAGCAAAACAATACCTGGGATACTGTAGTGATGTAGGTATGGGATGTTTGACTAATAAAATAAGTAAGTGGTAATGAGCTTATTTATACTGTTAGCGAGTGAGATCTGCGGATGTTCCAGTTATAGAGGAATAGCCATTTGATTCTTAATTGCAAACAACGGAAACCAACTGGCTGACTGAACTATTAAAAAATGAATTCATTAAAAAAGATTAGGGCCAGGTGTGGTGGCTCACACCTGTAACCCAATATTTTGGGAGGCCAAGGTAGGAGAATTCCTTGAGGCCAGAAGTTCAAGACCAGCCTGGGCAATATAATGAGACTGTCTCTAGAAAACAATTTTAAAATTAGCCAGTTGTGGTGGCCTGTAGTCCCAGCCACTCAGGAGGCTGAGGCTGGAGGATGGCTCGGGCCCAGGAGTTTGAGGCTGCAGTGAGCTATGATCACATCACTGCATTCAAGCCTGAGTGACAGAATGAGACCCAGTCTCATTAAAAAAAAAAAAAAGTTTCTAGATAGCAACTCTATTCATAATCTCCCCCAAATGGAAACAACCAAATGTCCATCAGTAGGGGAATGGATGAGCAAATGGTAGTACATCATACAACATAATACTATTCAATAAAAAGCAATGGACTACATGAAACAATTTGGATGAATCTCAAAGACACCATGCAGACATAAAAGGCTACCTACTATATATTTCAATTTATATAACATTCTAGAAAAGGTAAACTCTAGGGATGGACAACAAATCAACAGTTGCCAGAAGTTAGGAGTGGGAAGGGGTGTGATTATAGACAGCAGAAGGGAGTTCTTTGGGGTGATTAAAATTGTCTGTATCCTCGTTGTCATAATGGTACACAAATTTATGCACATGCCAAAATCCACTGAACTGTACACTAAAACAAAACAAAAATGTGACTTAATTGTGATGGTTGGACAACTTTTTAAATTTACTGAAACTCACTGAATTGTTCAACTACAATGCGTGAATTTTATGATAAGTAAATTACACCAGGAGGAGTAGGGGATGAAGAGATAGAGAATGGCTAAAGTGGGTTCATTATACTATTCCTTCTACTTTTGTATATGTTTCAAAATGTTCATATTAAACACTTAACAGCTGGGCACAGTGATTCCTGCCTGTAACTCCAGCACTTTGGGAGGCTGAATGGGGAGCCCAGGAGTTCAAGACCAGCCTGGACAACATAGGGAGACATTGTCTCTACAGAAAATTTTAAAAATTAGCTGGGTGCGATGGTATGTGCCTGTAGTCCCAGCCATACGGGAGGCTGAGGTGGGAGGATCGCTTGAGCTGGAAGGTTGAGGCTACAGTGAGCCTTGGTCTTGCTACTGCACTCCAGCCTGGGTGACAGACTGAGACCCTGTCTCTAAATAAATAAATAAATAACAACAACAACAAAAGGAGGCTAGGTATCTCAGAGTCACTGAGGCCAGGTCTAGGACCACCTGCCAGGAGCAATGCTCAAAATTCCACTGCAGAACTGCTGCAGAAGGAACACCTCAGTAGCAACTACCAGGATCAGATCTGAGCTTGAACCATGGATGCTGCGCATTGTGGATATGGAGGTTACCCCAGGCACACTCTCTCTGCTGCCCGAGAAGTTGAATTTCTGAATCCTCTGCCATTGTCAGTGAGTTATTTTTGGTCCCTTCTTTTCGTCATTTTTCTAAGTCAGGGTGGGTGCCTCTGCAGAACATCAGTCCTGCAGCTGTTACCTGGGAAAGCAAGCGTCTTGCATTTTCACCTTCTGGAGTGGAAGACTGACTCTGCTTCCCACCAGAACTCACAAGGTGGGAGAATTCCCCAAACATGGGAAAGAGGTACAGGTACTGAGCAGCCAAAAAGAAGGACAATGCCCACTGCAATACCAAGTACAACCTTCTTACAAGTGTTGCCTTATATTGGCCTCTTTGGGTCTGGAAATGCTTCATATTACAGCAGCAGACTTACATGTTTTCCGAAACATGAGGATGAGTGACCAGGTATCCACTTGCCTGTGCGTCTCTTCTTTCACATACTCCACTACAGTTTCTAGACAGACCCTTACACACTCTAACCCTGTTAGCGTTTTCTGCTCCAGCATGCTTCATAACACAAGCTTTTCTTTCTGCCTCCTTGGCCAATAAAGGCCAAAGGCAACGAGCAGAGCTCAGGCTTTTTGACACTTTATAAAGACAGCTTTGAATCACAGATCACATCCTTACAGTACACCCAGAGGGAAGTGAGTAAAAGGCAAGTTTGCAGGTGTCCTTTACTTTGATGTATTTGTCCCTTGGCAAAAGTTCCGTGGTGGAGGAAGGATATCCTTCATCGTCTTACATTTCACTGAATGCCAAAATGGTACCTATGCAGCTCATTTCCACCATGGCAGCTGGCTACCATGCTTCACTTAGGCTATCCATATATTATTGAAGGAGAGATTTTTATAGCACACTATAGGTCCTAAGTGCTTTCACATCATTAGTAAGATATTTTTCCCTGAATCTTCAGGTCAATGTTAACATCTTTTGTTTTAAGTGCAACTACTTGGACACACAGGTTATGTGATGGGCCTAAGGTTAGGGAGTGAGGCACTGTCAAATCTGAGATTGTGTGATCTCAACATTGTATCATTCATTGGTAGAAGGCTGCAATAAATCCAGGCCACTTTAAAAGTCAAAAGCAAGAGAAGAATTAACTAAGTGCTGAGCTGATTCTTTTGGAAGCTTGGCTTAGGGAAGTGCTGGCTTGAGAAGGGTCTTAAACCTTGCTGCTGTAAGACTTCTAAATCAATCCAGCTCAGCGCCTTAACCACAGACACTAAAACTGTCACTAGAGACATCTCTCCCTGGGTTTTTACATATTCACACTCATGTTCCAACATGACCTTCTTAGGGGTTAATGGAAGAGGTGGTTTAGACCCAAAGTCACTAAACTTGATATAAAGAAAATATTTACCTAAATAAAGCAGTCATTTCTTGGCTGTTAGCCAAGCTATCAGTTATTCACAGTTGCTAGCTAATATTTTATTATTCTTTTCTTCATAGTCAGTTTAAAATATATTTTACAAAAATACTACACTTTTTTTTTCTTTTTCTTTTTCTTTTTGAGACAGAGTCTTGCTCTGTCGTCAGGCTGGAGCTGGAGTGCAGTGGTGCGATCTCGGCTCACTGCAACCTCCACCTCCTGGGTTCAAGCGATCCTCCTGCTTCAGCCTTCCAAGTAGTTGGGACTACAGGCACGTGCCATCATGTCCAGCTAATTTTTGTATTTTTAGTAGAGACGGGGTTTCACCATGTTGGCCAGAATGGTCTTGATCTCTTGACCTCATGATCTGCCTGCCTTGGCCTCCCAAAGTGCTGGGATTACAGGTGTGAGCCACTGCACCCGGCCAATAGTCCACCTTTTTTAGGACTCTCAGTCAAGGAAAGGTTAAAAGCACTGAAGTGAATCCTAGGGCATTGCCATGCAAAATCAATAGTTGCTACCTCTGGGCTTTAGCACCAGAAGACTGCTTGTCTTTCAATTTTTAATTTTACCTTCCTCAAAAAGGCTGAAGGAAAGCTCTAGAAGGGAATTCAAATTCAGTTCTCCTTGCATTCTAGAAAACCCTACAATTAAGCAATAGTAATCTAAAGAGAGAATCCAAGAGAGTCAATCATTCTTCAGCCTAGTAGAAAAAGCTTCTACCTAAATGGACTTTTTTGTTCACTCTTGCATTCTATCATCTCAGCATCAACTAATTTTCTGAGCTCTTCACTGTCAGCTATTTATTTCTGAGGCAGCATAATGCAATATTGTAGAGAAGGCAAGTATTTAGGTATTTGACCCGGACCAGGTAGGAATGGAGCCTGTTGAGTGTGGAGTAACAAAACCCACCGGCTAAACTATTGAAATGTCATTTCCAAATCGGCCATTGAGTAATCCTGCTGCTAGCTCAAAAAGAAAACGAGTGACTTTTGGGCCTGCCACATGTCAGTGTTCAGGTCACCAAAGGTCAGCAGAGGCGAATGTTGGAAAGAACACTTAGCTGGAAGTTCAGGCGGAACACAGCGAACCAAGCTCACTGGCACATTTCCTGTTTGGTTAAATTGGGGGAGATTGGGTATATCATTTTCAAGCTTTTTTTTTTAAGATGCAGAATATTTTCTTCAAATGAACCCTTCACACAAATCTGATGGGCAGGATGTTCCACATTTAATGACGTATGTAAACAGAAATGATTACAAAACAGAAGCCATGCAACATTAGCAATACAAGCTGAAGATTCCTTCTTTTAGGGGCTACGTTTAGCATGCAATGAAGCTGACATAGCTTCATTTAATTAGGCCATATAAGCGTTTTCCCTTTGACAAAATATTAAACTGGGAGGTGGTTGGAAATTGTGTTTTTCTTCAGGCCAAATAAGCAAAACAAAAACAAACACTTCCGATTTTTTAAAATTTTGTATACACTTTTGAGAACATTTTTTTTTTTTTTGAGACCGAGTTTCCCTTTTGTTGCCCAGGCTGGAGTGCAGTGGCGCGATCTCGGTTCACTGCAACCTCTGCCTCCTGGGTTCAAGCGATTCTCCTGCCTCAGCCTCTCCCGAGTATAGGATTACAGGCGCGTGCCACCACGCCTGGCTAATTTTTGTGTTTTTAGTAGAGACGGGGTTTAGCCATGTTGGCCAGGCTGGTTTCGAATTCCTAACCTCAGGTGATCCGCTCACCTTGGCCTCCTAAAGTACTGGGATTACAGGCGTGAGCCACCGCGCCCGGCTGAGAGCATATCTTAATAATAACAAACATTTATGGAAGACTTAATAGGTGTCAACCACTGTGCTAAGCATTTTACATATTGCTTTAATCAGAGCTCGTGTTGCAAGAGGCAGAAACCTACTCCACACTGGCTTACGGAAAAGAGAGAATGTATCACGTACAGTTGAAAAGCCCAGAAGTATAAGAAACTTTAGAAATGCTGAAATGCAGAAACTTAAGCTCTTTTACTCTTTTTATTCCCAGGCAGACTCTCCCTAGGTGATGGTAAAAATGGTTACCAGCAGTTCTAGGTTTACATTCCCTTTTCAGGAAGAGAATGCCTCTTTCCCACTGGGGATCCTAATAGGGGCTGAATCTCATTAACTTTGCTTAGGTCATGTGACCACCTAAAACTTACCACTAAGCCAGGAGGCTGGACTATCCTGATTGGCCAGATTTGGGTCACATGCTCTTCCATGCAGCATGGAGAAGTCAGTCAGCTTCATCTGTGCTGCGGGTACTAAATAAGAATTGAAGAGGGTGATCATCCCAGAGAAAATTAACGTGCTATTAGAAGTCAAGGAAGAAATAAATTCTGGGCAACCAAAAACAACAGATGTCACTGCAAAAGTCTATTTTATACATCAGATAAACGAAGGCTCAGAATTTTTAAGTAATATGGTTAAGGCCACATAGCTGGCGGTTCACTAGGCTTCACACAAACTTAAGTAAAGATTAATAGCCTAAGCTTTGGGATTAGACAAGTTTGAGTTTAAATCTTGCTCCCAGTGCTTATTGGCTATGTGGTCTTGGTTAGGTTATTTATTAATAGTTTCCCTGAGCCTTAGTTTCTTTATCTGTAAAATGGGAATAATAATAATACTGTTAGTGATCAATGGGCTGCTTTTCCAATGCATGTAGAGGCCAATACCATGGCATTGACTTTTGAGAAAAGAAATGTTTAATTGTGAGTTGACTGGCAAGCAGACAGGGAGAAACATTCAAATCTGTCCTCAAGCTGGGGCTGGGTCAGGTTTTATAAGCATGAAATAATAAGATGTAATCTGATCGGATCTTGCAATGAGGTGACATAATCTGATTGGATCCTGCCATGGGGTGACACCAGAGCTTGATCTGATTGGATCCTGGATCCTGCCATGCATTGTCTGCTTCTTAATTGAGACCCCGCTCCTCCATCCCATCTCTTAGATTCCCCTGGTGGTTGCACACCTGGTTCATTGAGGCATGCTCAGATTATGTCACCTTCAACCTGGGAGTCTATGGCTATTGAAAAGCAATTTACAACATTGTTACATAAAAATTGAACTGGAGTGGTCTGATGTGATTACAATATCTGTTTCACAGAATTAAATAAAATAACATATAAAGCATTTGCTGTGTTGTTCAGCACATAGTAAGCTTGTAGTTATAATAAAGTTATACTAACAGTAGTAATTTTAATATTATAACTCATTATTTTTGGCCTTGCTTCAAATCCCATAACTATCTAAAGATATCAGTCTATTTTGGCAAGAATTATTAGTAAATTTAGACATGTATAACTAATTGATGTTTTAGGGTTATAAGACCCTACATAAGTGAAAATAAAGTTTAGAAGTTTGATTAATTCTGATTATATCCTTCCTACTATTTTCTGGTGGCCATCTTTCTGGTGGAAATACTACCTATCTTTTGCCCTATTCCACTTTTAAACCTTTAAAAAAAAACAAACTGGCATCTTCCTATTCTGTCAGTGAGTGGCCCTGACCCCAGGGCAAAGCTCTGGTCTCTGTTTGGCTTGTTGTGTTGGTAACGATTTTCACCTGTGAGTGAGGTTTTTGGCACAGCCTCTGAGCCCTCATTTCACTCATTCTCAATTCAGTTTGAGTAACAACTAAGGTTGTCAGACACGGAAGGAGACACTTATGATGATTTGAAATTCAAACCACACACATTCAGTTTTGAAGCAAAACAATAGGCATCAGTC
This sequence comes from Homo sapiens, assembly GCF_000001405.40. Lineage (NCBI taxonomy): Eukaryota > Metazoa > Chordata > Mammalia > Primates > Hominidae > Homo > Homo sapiens. The sequence goes on along the minus strand of NC_000006.12, from coordinate 13,559,310 downwards.
AAGACTCTTCCCTTTTCCAAACTGTAGCTCTTTTATTCCAAAGTAATAACGATGACCTCTGTCATCAGATTACTCAGATATAAGGTGACCTAGAAGCCAGGCTTATAGCACTGTTATTTTTATTAGTCTGATTTTTCTTGGGAGTGTTTTAAGGACTGGGGAATGTATGCTGTTCTCAGAGAAAAAGGGAAATACCTTAATCATGTCGAGAGTTTACATATAGGACTGTCTGTTGGCTTTAATATATTGTCTTGTGATAATGATAGTTTCATTAATAACAACAATATGTTATTGTTGAAATTGGCTAATTTTCAATCCAGTGTCAGGTTGTGAGCCAAATTAATTCCTCCCCGTGCCTGGCACTCCTGTGCCTGACAGCCCAGCTCTGTCCCAGCCCTGTTTCCTGCGGCCTGCTGTCTGCATCTCAGCCTGCATCTCTGCCAGAGGAAAGCAATGCCTAACAGTCATCCACACCACTTCTCCCACTGCTTTTGGGTGGGCCAAACTGTTGCCAAGGGTGCTACCAGCCCACCTCTGGGAGGGTTCTGGGGCAGGGGTAATAGGACCGACTCTTGTCTGTCTCAGCTTGGAGACTATACTTCAAGAGGACCTTGAGCACCTGGCAGCACCTGGAAGGAAATCAGAGAAATACAAGGATGATCCAAAGGGTTAAAAAAAAGAAATGGTAGGGTCAGGCGTGGTGGTTCACACCTGTAATCCCAGCACTTTGGGAGGCTGAGGCAGGCGGGTCACTTGAGGTTAGGAGTTCGAGACCAGACTGGCCAACATGGTGAAATGCCGTCTCTACTAAAAATACAAAAATTAGTTAGGCGTGGTGGCAGCTATTTGGGAAGCTGAGGCAGGAGAATGGCTTGAACCTGGGAGGCAGAGGTTGCAGTGAGTGGAGATTGTGTCACTGTACTCCAGCCTGGGCAACAGAGCGAGACTCTGCCTCAAAAATAAATAAATAAATAGATGGTTGTTAGCTCACTTAACTTGGAGAAAGGTAGCCCAAGAGTAGTTTTAATTAGATATTTTAAGTATCAACTTTAATAAAGAAATATTTATTAAGAGTCCACCATGTCCTGGGCAGGTGTTATACATGAAGAATCATCACCTGGAAAACAATGGCTAGCCACTCTGTCTCTGCTGAGGATGGAGCAAAAGCAAATGGATTTGCATAGCAGAATAAGAGTTTCAAATTAGCTGTAATGAAGAATTTTCTACATCACATAATGAGAGCTATTAAATGCTGAATGGCTTGCCAAGGGAATGGAGCAGCCAGGAGGGGGCCTGGGGCTGGCTTTGCTAATCAGTTCTGGGTGGGTTGAGACCCACAGCTCACAGCAATCAATTGTCCAAGTAAAGCTGGGGATGTGTTGTTTATCTCTCTGTGTTATTTTGAACCATAATTTTTACAAATACTACTGAGTAATCTCTCAGAAGTGTTAAAAACATGTTACTCAGAGAAAAGAGAAATGAATATCTGAACTCTAGATGAGAAATTTCACAATAAAAACAGCAAGAGGTTTCAGTAAATATTTTCAAATATGTAAAAAAAAAAATGTTAAATGGAAATAGCAACCTGAGGACAATACCAAGTCTATAACAAATGACAAATATTTGTTATCTAATTATTCATTCAAATTGATTAGAAAAACATTAACTCCCCAATAGATAACTGGATTAAAACAAAAACAATCCATAAAAGGAGACTTATGTCTGGCCAACGAATGAAAAAAAAAATCACTGGACCTGATTACTTATAAAATACAATTAAGTCCAAACAACTCACTAATTCTTGATTTTAAAAATCAACTATATTTTTAAGTAATAGTTTTTATTGCTGATGAAGATAGAAAGGGGTCTAGTTGGACATTAGTATGACTCTCTATATGTAAAGCTACTTGAAACATTTATAGCAATTCCATTTTCATTTTTAGAAATCCATCTATCCTAAAGAAAATCTAAATCTAAATATAGTTTTGCTCAAAGATGTTCATTGCATTATCCACAATCACAAGTTCAACATTATCTATAACCAGAAAAAATGGAAAGTAACCCAAATGTCCATTAATAGGTGAATGATCTCATAAATTGTGATAAAGCAACTCAAAACATTGGACAACAGCTACAATTATGTTTAAGTAGAGTTATTATAACATGGTAAAGGTCATGTTCAATATTAAGTGAAAAATGCATGATATGCCTGGTTGTGCCATTTTCTAGCTCTGTGGCTAGTAAGAGATTCCATTTCTCATCTGTAAAATGTGAAGTAACAAAACTGTCTTTCCATCAGTTTGTTTTGATCATTAGGTAAAATTAGCCCAGCACTTTGGGAGGCCGAGGCAGGAGGGTTGTTTGAAGCCTGGATTTAGAGATCAGCCTGGGAAACATAGCAAGACCCTCTACAAAAAACAAACAAAAATACAAAAAAATTAGTCGAATTGGTGGTGCACTCCTATAGTCCCAGCTACACAGGAGGCTGAGTTGGGAGGATCACTTGGGCCCAGCAGTTTGAGGCTGCAGGGGGCTATGATTGTGCCACTGTACTACAGCCTGGGACAGAGGGAGATACTGTCTCTAAAATATATATCTATATGGATATATAATTATGTACACAAAGTGCTTAGCAAAATGTCTGGAAAATATCAAATGCTTAATACATTATAGCTTTTTTTTTTTTTTTTTGAGATGGAGTCTCGCTCTGTTGCCAGGCTGGAGTGCAGTGGCACCATCTTGGCTCACTGCAACCTCCGCCTCCTGGGTTCAAGCGATTCTCCTGCCTCAGCCTCCCGAGTGAGTAGCTGGGACTGCAGGCATGCACCACCACACCCAGCTAATTTTTGTATTTTTAGTAGAGACGGGGCTTCACCATGTTGGCCAGGATGGTCTCGATCTCTTGACCTCGTGATCCACCTGCCTCGGCCTCCCAAAGTGCTGGGATTACAGGCGTGAGCCACCGTGCCCGGCCACCTTGTTTTTTTTTTTTTAGAGTGAGATATAACCTTGCATTTAAGGAGTCATCACAAGTATTTAAATTCAAAAGCTAAGCCTACAGGAAACCCTAGAAAGAAACAGGTCAAAGTCAGGGGTGGTGTCTGTAAGTGATTAACTATAGGTTCAAATATGTTTCAACCCTTCTATATCTCCACTACTTTTATAATGGATGAAAAAAGCTGGGTTCTTTTCTTTCTTTTTTAAAAAATTTAGTTAAGTTTATAACAATAGTTTCCAAAGATGAGTGGCAGAAATAGATTGCCACCAAAGTTCAGGTAGACATTACAAACATTATTTGGCAGTAAATTCAGTGACTTCACTGGTCATGGAAAAGGGAGGGGTTGCCACCCTCAAGCCCCCAGCTCCTCTCCCCCCACTCTGCTATCTAGGCCATGCCAGGACACAGCTGAGCCTAAAAAGGGCTTTTCTAGTGTTTATAAAGCTGCCTCCATGGCCTGTCTTCTTGTGCTTCTTGCATTCTTTTCTCCCGCAAGCAGAGAACTGCAAAGACAGATTTTCCATAAAAAGCCGAGCTTTTATATAACCAAAAGCCTGATTCATCTTGCTTTACTTAATGAACGCCCAAATGGATTTTTATTTTTACATTCTCAAAAAAACTCCCTTCTTTATCCTTGAGTTAGAGGTAAGTGGTATTTTTGTTTTTGTTTTTAAGTTGTCATATTCTTTACTGAAAAATAAACTATAGGGAAAAACTCTGCTAGTCATTCTTTTCCCAGGACCATCGTCTACACATTTTGGGGATAAGGGTGCATGCTCGCTCTGTTTGCACATATCCTCACAGGTGTGATGTGGAATACAGGGATCTGTGGGGAGGGAAGAAAATGGGGGCAAGTCATTGTAGAAAAGTCACGACTATCCCTGAATTCTAATGTTCTGGTATTCATTTCAAGGACAACCGCGAATAAGGCTTGGGATAAATATCCTCAAATAACCTCCCATGAATTTATACACATCCCATAACCAGAAAACATTCAGAACTTTCTCCACCCATTGCTTCCTTCCTCTCCAGTCTTTTTAAAAGTTGTTTGATTCACAGCCACGTCATACTGTCCCCACCTAGCGCTGCCTGCTCCCCTCCACCCTGGCGCCTGCAAAGAAAGCGGCTCTTCATGGAAAGGCAGCTGCATGTGGCTTCCCTCCCTCCCATGGGCTGGGAAGGTAGAACTCCCGCCTGGAGGAGCTGGGCAAGCCTGGCGCCAACCCCATCCCCAGCCCAGCTCTTCCCAGCTGCGTGGTGAGGCAGGCTCTGAGCCTGGGATTTACCACGAAAAGGCTCAAGGAGCATAGGCAGGCTGGCCTTCATGCCCCTGAACTTGAGATAAATGCTGTCTCCTCTTGGCCAGCACTTCCTTGCAGTGCCTATTAGATAGAGAAGAAAACTAACAAGAAAGACTATTTCAGTCTTTGCTGTGACCATGGAAAAAAGATCATGCTGAGATTTATAAAACAGATGAATGTGCCCCAACCCAGGCACAAGAGCTTTGCCTTAGAGTGAGGTTTCTCAACCTTGGAACAATTGGCATGTAGGGCCAGATAATTATTTGTTTTAAGAGGCTGTTCTGTGTGTTGTGAGATATTTACCAGCATCCCTGGTCTCTATCCACCAGGTAGAGACCCCCACCCCAAGCTGTAACAACCAAAAACATCCCCAGACATTGCCAAATGTCTTCCAGGAGGCAGATAAAATACAAGGTGCCCAATTAAATTTGTATTTCAGATAAATAATGTGATATTTGGAAGGTACTTATGCAAACAAATTTTCTGTTGTTTTCTGAAATTTAAATTTAACTGAGCACCATGAATTTTTATGTGCTCAATCTGGCAACCTTACCTGGGGAACAAAATCATTCCCAGTTGAAAACCACTGCCTTAAAAATACCAGGAACTTGGGGGACAGTTCTGGGGCTTGGGTTTCTCATCAGCGGGATTGATCGTCTGCCCAGTCTAATGATTCTGAAAGCTGGAGATTTGGAATAGTCTCACCCCCGAGCCCCTCCATCTTGCATGCTCCCCAGCCACCTCTGCCCCAAGGCAGACCTGCAGGGAAGAATTTCTCTCTGGAGAAACTGACTGGGGACACAGAAACCACCTCATCACATTGATATTTGGGATTCTGCAAAAAAAGAGGGCAGACCCTCTGGTTGATCATCCTAGCAAGAGGCCTGCCCTGCAATAAGCCTCACCCAATGGAAGATTGCTTCCCACTAACAATTTTTGATGCCTCACTCTTGGATAAAAATGGACAACCAGTGATTTAGGAGGGAAATCTCCCAATATGACAGAGATAGACTATAGCCTATCCTGCTGGTCTCGTTTCTTTCTTTTAACAAAGCCCTAAATGTATTCAGGGTAGTAATGTGCACAGTTCTAGATGATGAATCATCATTGGGCCATGCCAGAAATGGCTGGCATTCCCTTTTCCATTATTTTTTCTTGCTATGAATGCAGATGTGATGCTTGGAGCTATGGCAACAATCTTATGGTCATGAGGAAAAAGCCAAAAGAACTCTAGTGCTACCAGCCAATATCTGGTTGGCATTAACCAATGCCAACATCTACCTATTACTGTATTTCTTGTGATAAGAGAAAAATAAACTCCTTTTTGTTTAAGTTTTTTGTAACTTGTAGCTGAAAGCATTCTTAACTGATACGAAGACCAAAGTAAATAATTCAGGACACAGAAAAACAAAAAAACCCACAACTTACTCAAATCTGTGTAACATCCTTAGAGAAATCAAATATTGATTAATCATTCCTCCAAAAGAGAGTATTTTTATGAATTTCTCATTTCTAGTATTTCTTTAAGTACAATATATATTCTTTTTTTTTTTTTTTGAGACTGAGTCTTGCTCTGTCATCCAGGCTGGGGTACAGTGGCACAATCTCAGTTCACTGCAGTCTTCACCTCAGCAGTTCTCCTGCCTCAGCCACCCAAGTATCTGGGACCACAGACATGCACCACCATGCTTGGCTATTTTTTTTTTTTTTTTTTGTATTTTTAGTACAGATGGGGTTTGGACATGTTGGCCAGGCTGGTCTTGAATTCCTGACCACAAGTGATCCACCCAACTCGGTCTCACAAAGTACTGGGAATACAGATGTGAGCCACCACACCCAGCCTAAATACAATATATATTCTTATTCCCTCCTTTTTACACTAAAGGTAGCATACTATATACATTCAATCAAATAATATTCTGTACACTGTTCTGAATTTTGCTTTCATCACTTAACAATACAGTCTGTGATCTCTCTGCATCAGCATGAGATCTACCATATTTCTTTTTACAGCTCCATCAAATTGGTGTACCCTAGTTTGTTCAGCCAGTATTTGACTGTTCAATGCCTGGGTGGTTTATAATCTTTAAATTTTACATATTATGCCACAGTGAATAGACTCGTACATATGTTCTTTCATACTTATGTATGAGATTGTGTAGGATATATTCTCAGAGCAGAAAATATGTCTGTATTTTTGGTAGCTGTTGCCAGATCCCCCTCCATAAGGAGTTGTATGATTTTGCAATAAGAAAATACAAGACCAGCCTGGCCAACATGGTGAAATGCCATCTCTACTAAAAATACAAAAAGTAGCTGTCATGGTGGCGGGCACCTGTAATCCCAGCTACTCAGGAGGCTGAGCCAAGAGAATCGCTTGAACCGGGGAGGCAGAGGTTGCAGTGAGCCGCCAAGATCGCGCCACTGAACTCCAGCCTGGATGACAGAGCAAGATTCAGTCTCAAGAAAAGAAAAAAAAGAGAGAAAGAAAGAGAGAAAGAGAGAAAGGGAAAGAAAGAAAGAAGGAAAGAAAGAAAGAAAGAAAGAAAGAAAGAAAGAAAGAAAGAAAGAAAGAAAGAAAGAAAAAAAGAAAATACAGGAGTGCCTATTTCTCTTCAGCCTTCCCAACAAAATATGATGTCAAATATTTAGGATTCTTTTCCCCCCCACCATATTAGGGAAAAAATGGCAGCTTGGTATAGTTTATATCTATATTTTTCTTATTATAAGTGAAATTGTTCATATTTTTATATGTTTAAGGGTCATTTATAGTTCTTTCTTCCATGAACTCTCCATTGCTTCTACTTTTTATTTTTGTCTTGATTTCTAGGAACACTATAAAGGGAGATTAGCCCTTTGTGATACAATTTACAAATATTTTCCTACTCTGTCTTTTGATTGCACTTTTGATGTTTTTGCCACGTAAAAGTCTTTGTTATTTTATGTGGTTATCAATCTTTTCTTTGATGACTTCTGAATTCCAAATCATAATTAAAAATGCCTTCTCTGTCCCTTAAAGAGTTTACCCTATTCTCTTTTATTAGATATTCATATATTTTGCAGTTTAATTACTTACATTTAAATCTTTGATCCATTTTGAGTCTACCTGGCCATATGGTGTGAAGTGTGGATCTAGCTCTATCTTATTTCAAATGGCTGACCAATTACCCCAATACCTTTTGCTAAAAAGTTGGTCTTTATTCCATGAACTGGAGATGACACCTTTGTCATATATTAAATTTCTCTGTAAGGTTGAATCTCTCTGTGGGCCTTCTATTCTACTCCATGGATCTGCCTGTCTTTCATGCATAATACCATACTGTTTTTATTACTAAGGCTTTGTGTGTTTTAATATCTGGTAGGACTTGTCCTCTCTCAATGTGTTTCCTCTTAGAATTTCTCTGGCTTTTCTTGCTTATTTATTTTCCCAGATGAATGTCAAAATCAACTCCAATATTTCCAGAAAAAAATGGTTATGTTTACTGAAATAGCATTAAAAACAGATTAAGAATGTTGGCTGAAATAAAAATTAATGATGAAGTTTGAAAATAATCAAATAAATCTTTCAGAAAAAAATGGACAAAAAGAAAATTTGAGAGAGAAAAAAAATATCTGAAAGCTCAACTCAGGAGGTCAAATGATCAACTAGTAGGCATTCCAGAAAGTGAACACAGAGAAAATGAAGGAAAGGAAATTAATAAGGAAATAATTTTTTAAATGTTTAACATGAGCTTCCTGACTAAAACAGCCCAGTATATTCCCAACACAATATGTAAACACATATTCCCTCTCCCTCCTTATTCCCGCCCTCTCCCCAGGAATAATTTGAAAACACCAGAGATAAAGATTATAAAACCTTCCAGAAAAAATAATAGGTCACAATCAAATTAATGAAAATTACAATAGCATTAGGCTTCTCAACAGCTCCGCAGGGTTCTTGAAGAATCTCTAAGAACAACACAGGATTCTTGAGCAATGCCTTAAAATTCTGAAGAATAATTATTTTCCACATAAACTTCTGTGCACAGGCAAACTACTAGTCAAGAGTAAGAACCAAATAAAGACATTTTAGTTAGACATTTAAGGACTCAGAAAAATTTATATCTGATGCACACACCTTTCTGAGAGGGTTACTTGGAGGATGTTCTCTATCAAAATGAGGAAATAAACCAAGGAATAGTGAAAGATAAGGAAGTCAGTGGCTGCAGCAGGCCTCAGCAGGACTTATGGTTCTTAGATGTGGCTGTACATTAAAATTGATTGGGGAAACTTATTAAGCATATGATTATATCCCTCCACTTCACCCTCCCCATCTCCAAATTCTGATTTAATTTCTCTGGAGTGGAGCCCAGGTTTTAGTGTTTCTTCAAAGTTTCCCAGGTAATTCTATTGAGCAGCAAAGGTGAGAAACACCAAATTATGAAGAAAAGTATCTTTCTATATACAGACTTTTAGTCATTATGGATGGAACAATCATTTGCTGCTTTTATTGTGTTTTTCAGCCAGATCTGCAGGTCAGAACTTTAAACCACAGGTGAATTCCATGTATGATACAGAGTATTTATGTATTAACTACTAGCTTTAAATGGTTAATATTCACAGGGGAAATACAATAGGTTTTTAGAGTTTTTCAATATATCAGAGAAAAAAACAAAAAAGATAAGAAGGCTGGGCGCAGTGGCTCATGTCTGTAATACCAGAACTTTGGGAGGCCAAGGTGGACGGATCACGAGGTCAGGAGTTCGAGACCAGCCTGACCAACATAGTGAAACCCCATCTCTACTAAAAATACAAAAAAATTAGCTGGGTGTGGTGGCGGGCACCTGTAATCCCAGCTACTTGGGAGGCTGAGGCAAGGAGAATCGCTTGAACCTGGGAGGTGGAAGTTGCAGTAAGCCAAGATGGTGCCACTGCACTCCAGCCCAGGTGACAGTGCGAGACTCCATCTGAAAAAAAAAAAAAAAAAGATAAGAATAAGATGCAATGATTGGGGGACAGTTTGTAAATTTCTAACCTTTGTAAGAAAGTAGGGATGCCTTGAACGCTACTCTTTAATATTCTTTAAAAGAAACAACAAACGTAAATAACCCTCTCCATTGGTAAATAGAGTGCTCTCATTAATTTCTTGGTAGGAAGAGTCTCCCCATTAAGCTAAAGGGCACAAGTCATAGATCCTGTATAACTAGGATTAACTAGTTTTTGCCTGGTGTGGCCGACACCAAGACTTTCTCTGCCTTCTCCTGCTCCACTCAGCTATCAGTGTCTTTGGCAACACCAAGGTATTGGTTTCTAGATCATAATTTTTGCCTGGATAACTAAGGGCCAGGGCCTGACTTGGTTTTTTGTTTTTGTTTTGCCAATTAATAGATACAGGACCAGTGCCACCATAGCCTTGCCTCTTGTGAACACTTCAGATGTTCTGAAAAGTGATCGGATGAATGATGTTTTGGGCATCCTGAAAGAACATGATCGTCCCAGGCTGGGCTTCTAGAGGAGTACCTCCATCTGCCCAGTCACCAACAGCCCTCTGGTGGGAAATGAGTAGAAGAAATTGGGGAAGATTTTAATTTCTTTTCTTTCTGTGTTAGTTTGTTCTTGCACTGCTATAAAGAAATACCCAAGACTGGGTAATTTATAAAGAAAAGAGGTTTAATTGGCTCACAGTTCTGCAGGCTGTACAGGAAGCAGGCTGGGGAAGCCTCAGGAAACTTACAATTGTGGTGGAAGGCAAAGGGGAAGCAGGCACATCTGACATGGCTGGAGCAGGAGGAAGAGAGTGAAGGAGGAGGTGCTGCTACACACTTTTAAACAACCAGATCAAGTGAGAACTAACTCATTATCACGAGAGCAGCAAGGGGTCAGTTCACCCCCATGATCCAATCACCTCCCACCAGGCCCCTCCTCCAACATCCCACCAGGTCCCTCCTCCAACATCCCACCAGGCCCCTCCTCCAACACTGGGGATTGCAATTCGACATGAGATTTGGGCGGGAACACAAATCCAAACCATATCTCTTTCTTTCTTTCCTTTTTTTAGAGATAGACTCTTACTCTATTGCTCAGGCTGGTTTCAAAATCCTGGGCTCAAGTGATGCTCCCCTCTCAGCCTTCCAAATAGCTGGGAGAGCATGCGTGTGCCACCTTTAGTTTCTTTTTTAGTTAACCTAAGGGATTTGGACTTTACACTTTAATTCACAAGGGTAAACATATTGGATTAATTCCTTTGAACTGTAACATAAAATTCCTGGACTTTAACTTCTTTGAGATTTTAATCTTTGAACTTTGAATCCATGGTGACTTCATGACAGGAGGCATGTGTTGTTGGCATTTTATTGTCATTATGATGTCATTTGAGCTCACTGCACAACCTTTGGTAGGCTGTACTGAACAACATGATGAACTTAATTTGGGATGGAAAATAGAAGAGGAAGTAGATTTATAGCTTTTTAGTACCTCAGAGTTAATTTGATTAATGTGGGGGTGGGGGGGATGGATCTAGGTTTTGTGAGGCCTGATGTGTATACAATATGAGGGAAACTTTTAAGAACAAAATTATGAATATCAAAGTAGATATGAAAGTGAATATTTGTTTAGATTGAAAACAGAAGTCACAGCCGGGCACGGTGGCTCACGCCTGTAATCCCAGCACTTTGGGAGGCCGAGGCTGGCGGATCATGAGGTCAGGAGATTGAGACCATCCTGGCTAACACGATGAAACCCTGTCTCTACTAAAAATACAAAAAATTAGCCGGGTGAGGTTGCGGGCGCCTGTAGTCCCAGCTACTCGGGAGGCTGAAGCAGGAGAATGGTGTAAACCCGGGAGGCAGAGCTTGCAGTGAGCTGAGACGGTGCCACTGCACTCCAGCCTGGGCAACAGAACGAGACTCTGTCTCAAAAAAAAAAAAAAACAAAAAAAGAAAAGAGAAATCACAACAAGTTATGATTTTATAAAACTGACAAAGACCACAAATACTGCTCATCTAGAAATTGACATGTTAATATTATTTTTAACCAAAAAATATATTTATTAAATACATATTAATAAATATTGTCACTCTTCTACATTATTTTGAAAGCTTGTTTGAAGGTTCTAGCAGGGGAGCGCAGCTGCTTGTATACCCTTGACTGAAGACCGGTCCTCCTCTATCAGGGACGGTTGTCCTCTTCGACCGAGTGCGCAGCTTCAGGAGGGACACACATAGAGTGGTAAGGGAGGAAGGGGACACCCACCTAGCCAGCCAGATCAGCCGAATCAACCCTGACGATTAGTGGGGTGACAGATGTCGCAGCCAGATTGGCCTCACATCCTCTCTACATTATTTTGGCTGCATACTTTTTGATTACCCCTTCACAAAACAATGGTTTTATAATATCATTTTATGTAGAAAGAATAGAAAGACAATTCAGTCTTCCAGCGTGGTTAAATAAAATTTCCCTCAATTGCACAACATTTTTCATTAGCAACAAAACTTTACTTGGAGATCTTGAGCTTGATCTTAAACCAAATATAAAAGGGACGATGACTTCTGTGTAAATCATTTTCCCAAAGAAAAAGGCACAAAGGGATTACTTGTATCAAATTCATCACTTTGCTGATTCTCTTTCCTGAGAATCAATGAGGAAGGTGTGGCAAGACTGTTTGGGAAAAAAAATCCCTCTTCACAGTACCAGAAAAATGGAGTTAGAGGATTGTCTCTCCTACTGTCGATGAAAAAAATTAAACTCTGTAAAATATTTGATGAGATTTATTATGAGCCAAATATGAGTGATCAATGGCCTGTGACATAGCTGTCAGGAGATCCTGAGAACATGTGCCCAAGGGAGTCAGCCTACAACTTGGTTTTATACATTTTAGGGAGACATAAGACATCAATCAATACATATAAGATGTACATTGGTTTGGTCCAGAAAGGCAGGACAACTGGAAGTGGGGGCTTCCAGTCATAGGCAGATTCAAAGATTTTCTCATTGGAAATTGGTTGAGTTATTATCTAAAGACCTGGAATCCGTAGAAGGGAATGTCTGGGTAAAGATAAGGGGTGGTGGAGACCAAGGTTTCATCATGCAGATGAAGCCTCCAGGTAGGAGGCTTCAGAGAGAATAGATTGTAACCATTTCTTATCAGACTTAGAGTCTCTTCTATCACCCTTAAGATGTGTTTTAATGTTACTGTTGATCAGATGTGTCTGAATTACAAAAGGGAGGAGGGAATAATGAGACATGCCCAACTCCCGCTTCCTGTCATGGCCTCAACTAGTTTTTCAGGTTAACTTTAGAATGCCCTTGGCTGAGAAAAAGGGTCCATTCAAATGGTTGGAGGGCTTAGAATTTTATTTTTGGTTTACATTACCTTCCCCAGCATTTTGCTCCAATAACTTGTTGGGCATAACCATTAAATCTACGGTCAAAAGAATGCTGTTGGTCCCCTTGGAGGAGAAGACCACAGTGGATCAGGGAGGTCCTGCTCCTACCTTCCTTCAAAACCAGGCCCTGCTGTTTTGCAGCAGCTGTTGGCTATATTGGCAGGCAGCATTGATTTTTGTCCTCAGAAATGTTCTCAAAGTGGCTCAGAAGCCCAGAAGTACATTTATTTTAAAGCAAATGAAATTTAAGTTCTAGAGCTCCTCCATTGTGCAGGCCTCTTCAGAGGCTCACTGTATTCCATAGAGAAAAAAGCTAGGTCTTTATTGCCTTCTGCAACATCACCAAAGATCTGGGCCTCAAGTGGCTCAAGCCATCTTTCTGCCTAGGGAGAAGTGAAATTTGTTAACACCAATAAGGCAAAGAGAAAGGTAATTCTCTGCTTCTGACATGGAAAACAGGATTATGCAGCAAGATTTCAGCCATGGGAGGCAGGCTATAGTGTTAAAAAGGGATTTTCTAAATGCCTTTATCCACCCTCCTTTTCTCTCACCCTGAGACCAAGCATGCCTTTTTCCCTGCTAAATCTCTAGTGCCTCCAGAGCTCCTGGGACAAAGCTGGCACTCAATTAATACAAGCTGAATAAGTCAGTGAATATATCCAGAATCTAATCCTGTTAATGCATCAAAGGATACTGTCAAGAGAGTGAAAAAGCAACCCACAGAATGAAAGAAAATATTTGCAAATCACATATCTGATAAGGGATTTATACCCAGGATATATAAAGAACTCCTACAAAAACCAAAAAACCTAAATTCATAAAATGGGCAATGGACTTGAATAGGCGTGTCTCCAGAGAAGATACATAAATGGTCAATAAGCTCATGAAAAGATGCTTAACATCACTAGCCATCAGGGAAACACAAATCAAAACCACAGTGAAATGCCACATCATACCCATTAGGAAGGCTATTATGAAAAAAAAAAAAACAGAAAATAAATGCTGGCATGGATGTGGAAAAGCAGAAATCTTCCTGGGTTGCTGGTGGGAATGGAAAATGGTGAAGTGCTATGGAAAATAATTTGGCAGTTCAAAAAATTTAACAGAATTAAACATAATTAACATATGATCTAGCGGTTCTACTCCTAGGTGTATACACAAAGCAATTGAAAGCAGGGGCTGGAACAGATACTTGTACATTGATGTGCATAGCAGCACTATTTACAATAGCCAAAAGGTGAAAGCAATGCATGTCCAATGATAGATGATTGAATAATCGTCATGTAGTATGTGTACCTATGTATATAATATAACATCATGTGGTGTATGTGTATATATGTATATTGTAATATGTATATATGTATATAATAATATATATGTATGTATATATATACAACAAAATATTTTTCAGCCATAAAAAGGAATGGAGTTGTAATGTTAGCAGTGGTGAATTCATACGGGTCTGCAGCAACCTCAATGCTTGCCTCCTCAGAAGAAAGAACTCGACCGAGGGGCATAAAGCAGAGGGAGAGACCGAGACAAGTTTTAGCGCAGGAGTGAAAGTTTACTAAAAAGTTTTAGAGCCAGAACGAAAGGAAGTAAAGTATACTTGGAAGAGGGCCAAACAGGTGACTTGAGAGATTCAAGTGCATGGTGTGACCTTTGACTTGGGGTTTTATACATTGGCATTCCACATGTGCAGTGGCCTGCCAGCACTCGGGAGGGGCTCCATGCACAGTGTGTTTACTGGAGTTGTAGCACGCTCCCTTGAGGCGTTTTTCCTTTACCAGTTGAATGTTC